>NC_000009.12:36828181-36979696 GCF_000001405.40 Homo sapiens
AAGGTTGAAGACGGCGGAGCTAAAACAAGAAAGGAGGCTGGATCCCTGAGTCACCTTGTGGAAGGCTGCCTGCCTACCAGGAATGCTACATTTAACATGGGGTATGACTTATGTGGGTCCTCTCCTTGGGTCTCACAAGGCTGACATGTGAGTGAGAAACAGATTTTTATTGTGTTAAGACATTGAAGGTATGGGATATGTTTCTTACATCAGTTGATATCGCCTTAACCAATATACCAGTTTGCACTGTGAATGAGAAAATGAGTCTGCATCCACAATGTCCATGCTTTAAGAGCTTCTAGGAGTTTTAGGAGTTTATTTGCCATGCTCTATAAAGTCTGCACAATGTTTTAATTCCACTTCACAGAAAGGTTTTCTTTCCAAACCCTCTTCAGGGGCCTTCCCTATTAAAAAAGCCCATTTATAGAAACTACTACTTAGCATTTTTGGAACTTGTTATCCTATTCAGCAGAGTCTAAGTCAGGAGGCTTTGAACTCGGACAATTACTGCTCTTGATTAACAACAAGAACTGATGAGTTGGCCTTTCTAGTGTGCTAAGCAAACTCAGCCAAGCAGAAAATATCACTGAAGGGGAAACAACGGGAAGTGATTTTCTTGGTTGCATTATGCGCCGTCGCGATATTTACACATGTTTGTGGATAATGTGGGAACCTCTGCTGCTTGCATGCCCTTCCAGATGACACCACTGGGCTTGAAACGCCATGTTTCCCACCTGACCTGGGCTGTAAATGTCATCCTGTGACTGCAGGCAGCCAGCCCCAGGGAAAAACCACAGCACTGGGAGTGGTCAGGCCCCTTGCAGGATCCCCACTCCAACCCTTTCAAGTTCTAGCCCCTCCAGGTACCCTGGGGCCAGCACCTAGGCCTAGAGATTTGTTTGTTTGTTTGTTTTTTAGAGATAGGGTCTTGCTATGTTGCCCTGGCTGATCTGAAACTCTGGGCCTCAAGCAGTCCACTCACCTTAGCCTCCTGAGTAGCTGGGATCACAGGCATGAACCACCCAACCCAGCTGGGGTTAGAGAGTAACAGCAGCCTTGGCCTCATATTGTAAGACAGCTCAGTGGCCGGATAGATGGGTGTTCATTTCTTCTCGCCCTCGCCAGCACTAGGTGTTTTTAAAAAATGATTTTTGTGAAGTCAAATAGTGTTTTCAGTGTCGGATTGAACATTGTGCTCATTTATGAGTGTTCTGTGGATACCTTTACCCATGTCTCTATTGAGGGTGGTAGGATTTTTCATAAAATTGCATGCACATTTTTCATGTATTAAAGGCATTATGCCTTTTCACATTCTTTAGATTTTTCCAACTTCTTTATCTTTGTATTTTGTTAAATGTTTTTGGATACATAAAACTAAAAAAAGAAAATCATAAGATTAAATATTTCAATCTTGTCCTTTGAGACTTTTCCATCTTTTTAAGCTTATAAAGTCATATTTCATATGGAAGTTTGAAATATATTCATCTATAACCCCATTCATTCTATTTAAAACTTTTTAAAGAAACTCTTGGCTCCACTAGGAATTTTTTTGGATGGAAGGTATGAGGTAAGGATCTTCCTGGGGGCCACATTTGGGAGTTCAGATCTGAGGGGCAGAAGCCTCTGGCTTTGGACAAACAGGGGCAGGTGTCACTGGGGTTAGGGGTGGCATAGCACGGGCAGAGGTAGTGTTGATGGGTGAAGAGCAGGTCCCAGCTGGGACTGCTCTCAGGATCTGGGGGTCTCCTTCTTCTCAAATGGTGTCATGGACTAAATTGTGTCACCCCCACATTTATATGTTGAAGTCCTAACCCTCAGTACCTTAGAATGTGACTGTATTTGGAGACTGGGTCTTTGAGAGGTAATGAAGTTAAAATGAGGTCTTTAGGGTGGGCCCTAATCCAGGGTGACTGATGCCTGTGTAAGAAGAGATTAGGACACAGACGCATCCAGAGGGAAGGAGGTGTGAAGACACAGAGAGAAGGCTGAGAAGTAACCAACCCTGCCTGACACCTTCATCTTGGACTTCCAGCCCCAGAATTTCGAGAAAATAAATTGTTTCGGCCACCCAGTGTGTGTTCCTGTGCTCTGTACCCTAACAGACTCACACAGGCAGGTTCTTTGCTAAACGTCCTCAGAGCTGGTCTGTAGTGGAGCTTGCAGAGGCCCCCATCACGATCTGCTGGGAAGACCAAGCAAGGAGAGCAACGTCAACTTTTAAAAATTATCTTCAAATTGTGTGTAATGCACGTGCACTGAAGAAAAATCAGGACATGTAGATAAATAAATCACTAAGATCACCTGGGGTGCTAAAGGCCTCAGTGGTCTAAAATCATAGCAGCTGTGTCTCCTGCAGAGCGTGCTTCCTAGTGATGGCCTCCTCCTGTGGGGCTTTGCAGGCCATGCGTCCCTCCCAGAGACAGCTATTGAGGCAGTGTGCTGAGGAGGCCACAGCAGTGCTCAGTCGGCCAGAAGGGTCCCCTTCCCCACATCACCACACAGCTGGCCAAGAGGCTCCACAGCTATTGGATCTGCGGGGCTGGAAATCCATCTGCTCCCACCCCCATCTGAAACACGCTCCCCTTCGCTGCCTCCTAAGGAAGATGTCAGCCTCTGCTTGCATTTGCCACCTCCTCTCCTCCTTGAGGAACCCCATCTGCTAGGAAATGACATGAGCCTAGGCTAGCCCTCACCTTGATCCAGAACCCAAGCTACCCCTTACCTTTGACCTGGTGGCACCCACAGAGCCTCAGAAGGTAGGCTTGGGGAAAAGGCCACAGTGCCTGGTTAACTCAGAGGTAAATGGTTCAGTATCTCCTCCCAACACACCCATTTTCCCATCTGTGGGGCTTTGTTCACACTGTTACCTGTGCCTGGAATGCCTTCCCTTCCTGCCCTCTCTAAAATTTCCTGTTAAGATTCTGCCCACCCTTCACAGCTCAGCTCAAAAGCCATCTCTTCCAGGAAGCCTTCTCTGGCTACCCCTCCCACAACTGAAAGGAACCCCTCCTGAGACCACACCTCCTTGCCTCCTCCAGCTGTAGGTGATACTGGCCATGTGATGCCTAGAATTAAAATACACACATCACCTGCCCCCAGAGAGCAGGCTCCTGGTTGGTTCATTTCTGCATTCTATCCTCCTCCTGCACCCAGCACAGAGGAGGTTCTGACTAGAATTTGACCTTGAGGTGTAAAATTTTGACTTCCTTACAGTGGAGAAGACATCCTGGGAAAACTCCCATTTGTCATTTGGAAAAACTTTTACACAATGCATAACACTTGTTTCTCATAACACTCTTGAGGTAAGTATTATCAGGTTTATACCCATTACACAGCTGAAGAAATCAAGGCTTCTAGAAGTTAAGAGACTGCTTATATCAGCAAACTGACCATCAAAACCTAGAGCTGAGACTCCCAGGCATGGCTTGCAGGAGGCTTGATCTTTCTGCCCTGCAGCAGTCTCACTCCCCCAGGGGTTTCTTCCGTCCCCAGCACCCAGCATGGGGCTTGGCTCCCTGGGGAGTTCGAGGAACACCTCCCATGGCAGATCTCACTCTTCTGTCTCTGCTCCTCTTTCACTGTCCCTGAGTGCGGAGGGGCTGCTGGAGGCTGCCTGAGGCTGTCAGGGTTGGTACTTCCACCTCCATACCTGGAGGCCTTGCCCACTGCCTCCATTCTGCTGTCACGTGGGGGCTGCACATGCCCTGCTTACTGCAGAGACTGGTGCCCTGTTTCTGGGGAGGGCAGGTCTGAGGCTTCTGTCCCCAGAAAACCAAGGATAGAGCCACAGTGTCAGGAAACGAAGCAGCTGCCCTGCCTCACCAGTTCATAGGTTTGGGGTCCGATTTCAGTTAAAAAAACATGCCTACTTCTCTTTGAAGTTTGTGCTGTAAGTCAGGAGCACTGAGAAGGGAGGAGCCAGGCCAGCACTCTGCCATGGCTCACCCTCTCTCCCTCAGGAATCACCTTCGCCACCATCCATTGCAGAAATGAATGGAGGCCGTGCAGCTGCTTTATTAAATATGAATGAGTTGCTGTCCACGGCCCCCACGCGGTCACTCGCCCACTCCATCTCTGGCAATTACTGAGTTGCACACTGTGCCAACGGGCGCAGCGGTCCCTGCCTGCCCTTGCACACTCTGACATCGCCCGGCAGGGGCAGAGCTCAAGTCTGCAGCTGCCCTACCCGCTGATGAAAAGCCACCTCTGGGCTCCTTTGCACCTGAAATTTTCAGTTCCAAAGGCTTAAGGACAGGACAGAAGGATTGTGGACTCTTGCTCTCCGAGGTCTGACTGGATATGGCCTGTGGCTTTGGGGCCCAGAGGCGAGGTCTCCTGGTGTGAATGGCTTCTGAGTTCTGTCTGGATCCAGGCATTTTAGGTTCCAGGAGGCTCGACAGGATCAAAGTGAAAAGCACATATGGGATGGGGGCGGTGGCTCATGCCTGTAATTCCAGCACTTTGGGGGTGCTGACGCAGGAGGAAGGCTTAAGGCCAGGAGTTTGAAATCAGCCTGGGCAACATAGTGAGAGCCTGTTTCTACAAAAAGTTTTAAAAAATTAGCTGATAATATGTTAGTTTGTAAGTAGGGAAAAATTATTTTAAAAACTAGCTGGGCTTGGTGGTGAACGCCTGTAGTCCTAGCTACTTGAGAGGCTGAGGCAAGAGGGTGGCTTGAACCCAGGAATTCAAGGTTGCAGTGAGCTATGATTGTGCCACTGATAGCAGAGTCCTGGTTGGCCCTGTTCACTTCTGTGTCCCCAGTGCTGGGGACAGAATAGATGCTCAATCAGTGTGTGCTGAATGAATGAATTAGGTGGGAATTACCATTTGGGAACTGAAGAAGTAGACATTAAATCACAGCTAGGAGTCAAATCCAGAGTGGTGGCTCACCCATGACTCAACCTGCCAAGCCTGGGGACATCTCAAGGGTGGATTCTGTGCCTGCTGTCCCCTGCCCAGGGCACAGCCCAATTCTGCAACATGGGTTTGTTTTGACAAAACAATCAAATCCATGCATGACTACGGTACAGTCAAAGTTGTCAAAGGTCATCCTCAAACTAGTAAAAACAAACAAGATCAAATTCTTTTTCTGAACTTAAAAAATTACTTTTATTTTAGGAACCAATAAAATTATGGCAAATATTTACAAATAATTATCTCACATAAAGGTTACATAAAATCAATTCTTCACAAGTAACAGCCACTCATGAAAAGACACACAGATATTGAAACTACGCCAATCTTATTGCATGTTTCTCCAACTAATCTAAAATAAAGGTGTTGCAGTCAACCATTTAACTTAAAAGGAAGCCACAAATTTCAGGTTTGACAAGGAAAAAAAAGTAAAAAAAAAATTAAACCAAAACCCCACCCCTGTTTTCTCCCAAGTCCCACCCCTAGCCCTGCCCTCCTCCCCAAAAAAGAAAAATATGTCCAACATCTTTGGCAAATTGGCACTGCTGTAATTACATTCAAATATTATTACACACAAAAGCAACACACGTCACTAAGAAAAAAACCACCAATATTTCAAGTCAGTTATTTTCTACTAGAAAAAAAGAATACAAAACATACACATTTTTTAAGAAGCATTTTTTTTTTTCAATCCGTTGGAGACAGATCATCTCCCACTTTCAAAGGCAATTCAATTGTGGTTTTTGTTGTTGGTTTTTTTGTATTTTTTTGTATTTTTTTTTTTTTACAAGTAAGCGTCTATGCAGGCATCACAAACTTTGGCGGATACAGTAGATATGTATTTCTTTGATGCTGAAAGGTCAGTCCCTAAGACAAAATCAAATGTCTCAAAGAATTAAAAGCAAAATGCATGTGTCTTCCTGGCAAAGGTTTCCATTTGCAATGTAATCTGCATTTCTACAAATACTCAATGTCCAAGGCCACTAGAGGGTGAAAAACCAGGGCAGCGTCTTCCAGCAGGAGTCAGGGCAAACCCAGAGCCAAAACTCCATCCTCAGCCCAACCTTGGAGGCCCAGCAGCTGGGGCTGAGAAGTGGGGCCCAGGCAACGCCAGGCCCTCACTGCCCGCCACCCTCTGTTGTGCTGGGTGCTTGGGGCCAGGGGATGGGCCTGCCTCTTCCTGAGCCCCGGGACAGGCTGCTGCCGGGTCTGCTCACCTTCTCTGACCCAAGTCGAAGACAGCAGGCAAGAATTGGCATGGGGAGACTCAGTGCTGTTTCTGAGTTTCAAGTATGTCTGAGGTGTAGGGGAGTGAGTGAGTGTGTGTGTGTGTGTGTGTGTGTGTGTGTGTGTGTTTACATGCTCGTGCACCTTATGGAGGGGAAGGCCAGATTCTGAGGCTCTGAACTTTTTGCAGTGTTTAAAATAGACTCAGGATTTATTTATTTTCTTTTTAGCTTTATAGCAATTAATTGGCTATTGATTGGTTGGAATGTTCAACTCTCCATTTCCTCAAATACAATAAAATAGTTTCATTAAAATGTATTCATGCTTGAAAAGAAGGGCGCCATTAAATGGTTTCCTTTCTGTTCCACTCCAAGGGAAATGCGCCGTTTGTAAATCAAAAATCCATCATCCAAAATCACTTGTTCTTAATGATGCTTTTGGAGAAGATGAGGGACGTGGCCACAGGCATGGTGATTTTGGGGACAAGGGCGACCAGCGGCCATAGCCACAGGGTCACAGGGTGGGGGGCGGGGGTCAGGGCAGGTGAGGCTGGTGTGGCCTCCTCCTGCCAGGCCTCAGAGTCGGGGAGGAGATGCACGACTGCCAAGTCACCCCCACCCTGCTGTTTCACCTGCTTCCCTCCCTGGGCCCCGATCAGCCACCGGAAGCTGATGGGTGGGTGGGTTTGTGCCTCTGTCTCTCCTGCCACAGGCCAAGTACCCTACCTGAGACGACTCCTTTGAGGCTTTGCTGATTGTCCCTCAGTAGATATTAATAGGTAAGCAGCTGCATTTTCTCCTTGTGTTGCTCAGGGGTCTAAGATGTGGGAACAAGAATTTCTGGGCTTTCTGAATGGTGGCTACGTTTACCCATCTTGGAGATGAGCTAAAGGGGACCCCTTGGATTGAAACTCTAGAATGGCAGTGACATGATTCTGAGGTTCCCTTCAATCCTGGGGTGCCCAGGAACGGAGCCTCAGTGCTGAGGAATTACCAGAAAAGGAAAGACAGGCTGGTGCCTGCCTGCTCCTGGCCGGCAGCTCATTTCAGAGAAGCTGTTGCCTCATCAGGGGAGCAGGCAGGCAAGGGGCTCACAGCCTGGCCTCTGCAGAGGCCCTTGGGACCTGGCGCCACACGAGGTGCAGCCGAGCTGACAGTGGGGAAGTACACATCAGCACTGTGGTTCCCCCATGAATATGCAAGAGGGAACCCTGAGGTTTGGGGCAACAGGGGCAAGGGGCTGAAGGGGCTGCTGGGAGGTGGGGCACGCCGTGGGCTAGGAGTCGTGGCCTGACTGTCCAACTTTCCAATAATGCATTTTATTACCTTTTAAGAAATGTACTTGCCTCGGACCTCTCCGAGGCCAAAAGAACGAAAGAAATAGTTTCCCCAGGAGAGCTGGTGTGTGGCTGGGAACCATCAGAGCAGCCTCTCGATGGGTGACAAGGCCAAGACTGCAGAACTGGCCTCGTAGTGGGGCCACCGTGGAGCCGGTCTAGCTCAGAGCCCTGTGGGATCCACCCATGCCTGCCTGGGCCTGGCCTGGCCGTGGGGCAGGAGTTGGTTTCCACCCTCCCGGGAAGCTGTATCTTAGACTCCCCTCCTGGGAAGCTGTATTTCAGACTCATCGTGTTTCTAGGGCTGTGTCAGGGTGCTTGGTTGGTTTTTAAGATTTGCTTCCCTGGCTTGGAGCTCAATTCTGGCTGAATGTCATGAGGAGGGGGTGGCTGGAGCCACTGGCTGCCAAGGCTGGGCAGTCGTTCTGGAGCGTGACTTCTGGTAAATGGATTTCACCCCTCAGTGCCCTGTGGCCACATCTGAGTCTCTTCCCTGCACATGTGAAAGGTGCCCAAGCAGCACTGACCTCCCCTGAAAACCCAGCAGCTCCCCAATCCCGTCCCCAGCGCCTCTGACCTTCCACCCAACTCCATCTTCAAAGCGCAAGACTTGCAAGAGCCCAAGATGAGGCCTGGGAGAGTGGCAGGCTCTGGGCGTGCCCGTTTCTACCCCTGCCTTGCTGGACACCCTGAAGCACATCTCTCACCTCTCTGGGCTCCCATCTCCTCCAAATCTGCAACAAAGGACAGGAGGTGAATGAGAAAGGGGGCAATTGACAGGCATTGGGGCTCACAGGCTGGTGCCCAGTGGGTCAAGTTTGGCCCATGGACATTTTTCTTTAGGCCGACAGAAAATTTTACAAGTTTTCATACTTGAATGCCACTCAGGGGGGCAGGCACACTTCTGGGCATCTCGGGCACTGCTGCACCGTACTGTCTGGTGCGCTGCCCGAGTGGCAAGGCTACACCACCCCGTTCACCCAGGAAGCAGTTCATTCAGGGGACTTGAGATTGTGATCTGTGTTTCCAGGGGCTGTGGACACCCTGGTGGCCCTGGCTTGGGCACTCCTGCATACTGTCACAGCCAGGCCTGGAGCCTGTTCCAAAGTGCGAAGGCAAAGAAAGGGAAGTGGGGGACAGCACATGACCTTGGCACCTGGACCCCTGGAGTCAGGGCTGGACCCATGTCCAGGCCTGGTCAGGGATTATGGCATGGCCTTGAATTGACTCTGATACCCTCTGAACCTCAGGGACAGCTGGGAAAGAGTCTGGATGAAACCTCAGAAGCACTGTTGTGGATTTGGTCAAAGACTCCGCAGGTTTCAATGTTCTTAGGAAACAAAGCCGCCAACCTGCAGGCCCCTAGGTCAGGCCAGCCTCTGGGTCCCTGTTCTTTCTTGCCTGATTGTGGGTCTGGGGGATTTCTAGGGAATGGGGGTGGGGGAGTGTCTTTAAGCCATACACTCCCATGACAGGAGCACAACTCGGTGGAGAGAGAATGGGGCCTGGAGATCTGAGAATTCACTTCGCCTCTATGTTGCCGTGAGAGCCCCAAATGTCAATTTCCCCGTCTATAAAGTAGGCATCATGCTCTTTGCTCCACAGAGTGGTTGAGGATTGCAAAGCACCGTACAATGTCAGTTATGGAAGGGCTAGCCTTAACTAAGGTGCCTTGGGAAAGGGATGTTGGGTTTGATATATCATCCAATTTTTCTAGGTTGGAGCTAGACTGATGGTATGAGAAATTTTCATAAAATCCACAATGTCCTTTTCCAAAAGTCAGAGCTCGAACACAGGGAAGAAGGCCCATGGAGAAATGCCCCAGGCCTTCTGCCACGATGCTGGTGAGGCCCCGGACTTGTGTTTTCCATTCAGAATTCTCTGGCATCTACTCAACGGCTTGTGTCCTTTGGAGCCATCCTCACCAAGCTCCCAGGCAGCTCCGCTGGACCACGAGGTGCTGTGAATTGGTGAGAGCGGGCGTGTGTGTGTGAGAACATCCGTGTGCATCCATGTGCGCTTGTGCTTCCGCCTGGCAGCCCAGGAGTCAAGTGGTTGTCTCACAAATACAAAACCAATCTGAGGACCAGCAAAGCCTCAGGTGAGGGAGGAAAGGTATGGGGGGAGCTCATTACAGGGCAAGAAGAGGAACAGGATGGGGAGAGGGGGCCGCTGTGAGCCAGGTGGGCTTTGCCGAGGAAGGATGCTGCATGCCTCAGGCAGCTGGTTCAGGGGAGGCTGACCTCCTCCCAACAGCCTGGAACCACAAGGAGGGCAGGATCCAAAGATGTGGGTACACATCATTCCAAAAGAAGGGTGACAGGGGGCAGAGGCTCAAGAAGTCTGTGCTGAAGACCCCTGACCCCACCACTTCCTGCTAAATGGAGGGAGGCAGGGAGAGAGATGCCAGGTAACATACCTTCTCCTACCTTACCTGACAGGTGGAAGCTGCAGCCAGCTCACCCTGGCTCCTGGAGGTGGACTCTGGCCCCAACTACCTCCCTTCTTTGCCCCGCAGGTTCTGGGTGGGGGCGGGGGTGCATGTGCCTGCTGTGAGCTCGCTGGGCTCCATCCCTGGCCTGGGTGACCAGGCTTCCTTGGCAGTTCTTACAGACTGATTGTCTAGGGCATGGGGCCCAGAACCATCTCTCACTGCTCTTACTGTCAACTCTCCTCAGGAATAGGAGATGTGGATAGACCAGGGTGACAGGGAACACCATGGGTTGGGGGTCAGGAGCCCGAGTCCCAGCCCCACCCCCACCAGTCACTGCTTGAGGACTCCACCTTGCTGAGCCTTAGTTTTCTCTTCTGTTCCACCACCCTGTGGGGGACTTAGGGAACAAAATACTTAGCGGTGGCCAGAGGAAGTCTGCTTTTTCTCCCTGCATGGTCCTGGCCTTCCCCAAGCTGGGCCTCAGTTTCCCACAAGGGAAGTTGGGCTAGGTCTTTTTCCAGGCTCTTCTGATTCCCGCCCCTCCGAGTGTTCTTGTTTCCCACTTGGTCCAAATATTATTGGGCCTCAGGTGCCCACCCCCATCTGCTTGCTTGGAAGTGGAGGGCCTGCCCCAGATGATCCTCTCACAGCCCCGGCTCCCTGGAGAGAGGAGGGGAAGGAAAGAGCTGTGGGGTGGCCCTACAGATGACCCTGCTGCACCAAGGCAGCCAAGGCTCAAAGAGGTGCAGGGTTTTGTCTGAGGTCCCACAGCAAAGACATGTGGCCAGGACCAGGACAAGACCTGCCTGGCCTGCTGATCCCAAGTCCAGTCTCTCTCTGCCCTGGCTCTCTGCCATCCTGGTGACATACAGATATGGGGGACATTGTCACCTAAGAAGGCCAAGCCCCCTCTCATCACTGTCATTCAGCCCAGGTTTGGACAAGGGCTCTACCTGGCTGTTCTGACTTGACAAGAGAGACTATGCAAGGAATTAAGGCCCCAGGTAAAGAGATGATGGCACCTGGCACCCCCATGTCAAAATCACTCCCAGGTCACACAGCAGCTCCTCACTGCTCTCCTGCCCCTCCCTCAGGAGGCCTTCCTCTGTCCCCCAGATCTTCCCTGCTGGCTTCCTCTGACCACCCTAGCCCACAGTGAGTTCTCCAAGCTCCCTCTCCAAGTTCCCGTGGCCCTTGGCCGTGGCCCTGACCATCGCGGCCCCTTAGATCAACAGGTGGGCATGCATTGTGCGAAATTAGGCATCTGCCCCAGCCCCAGCACCTCCATGCCCAGCTGCCTGCTAAGCTCCACGAGGACGGGGAGGGTCTGCCCCGAGAGGATGCTCAGAAGTTCTGGCTGTAGGCTGTTTGTGATCTGGGTGTGGGGGAAAGTCCTCTGTGTTAATTATTGTCTACATCACCGGAACAGGCTTGCCCAGAATCCACTTGCTGGGGTCCTGGAGGGTGGGTGAAGTGTCCATGGCAGGTGTCCGAAGTGACCTGAACCTGGGCATGCCTCAGAAAACACCGTTCCAGGGGCTGAGGGAGTAGGGAGAGCCTCAGGCCCCTCCTTGGCTGGGATCAGATGATCTCCTGCGTCCCATCCAGCCCTCACATTCAAAGTCCACAATGTAATCAATACCTCGGATGACATTCTGCTTCGGAAAAGTAGCTGAGGAATCTCCCAGACAGTTTTCTTTGAGTTCTTTGATCTGGAAAAGAGCTGCTGATACTGCATCGGTCCCAGAGAAATGGAGGCAGGAAACCAGGACATCTCCCCAAAGTGTGCTCCTCTTGGAGAGGGGCCTCAGGGGGAGCCTGCAGCACAACCAGCCCAGTGAGACTCCTCGTAAAGATACTAAAGAAGGAGGGATGAGCAGGAGGCTGGGGCCCAAGGGCAGCATCCTCCATCTTGAGGACAGCTCTGAGCGCACCTGCCAGGGTCACCCAGGGCAGAGAGGATGCTCTGCCATAGGTCTAAGATGTCCGGTGATGCACCAAGAGTGCGAGATGCATCATGGGTGGAGCAGTCTTCTCAGTCGGACCTTCAGGCCCACAGAAAAGCAAGAAGGTATTTACATGGGTGCTGCTGAAGCAACAAAAGCAAGCTCTCCTTCCCAGGCTGGGGTGGTTATGATGGATGGATAGTCAGACAGCTGGAGGACAGGCAGGCTGGGCTGGGGCTGCGGTTATTTGCAGGACAGTCTATTGGTTTGCAGAGACCCAGTGGCCATCGGGAGAAGCTCATAGATTGGCTTTTAGAAATAGACAAGCATCCAGAAGTCCAACGGCCCCACCAAAGGGCCCCAGAGTCCCTGGAGGAAGAGAGGAAGAGGGGAGCTTCAGGCAAGTGGGGGATGCTGGGGGACGGTCTCATGGGCTCTCTGGCTATCTTCAGGAGGGCTGGGTGGCTGTCACCCTCAATAGGTGCCATCAGTGTTTGGTGCCCGCCTGGCTCCAAGGGTCAGTGACGGTCATAGGCAGTGGCGGCTGCAGGTGGGGCGGCTCCTCGGGCGGCAGCGCTATAATAGTAGGGGGAGCCTGGAAGAGACGGGAGAGAGCACCGAGGTCAGATCCGGGGTCCCCTTTCCACCAGTCTCCTCCACTTCTGTCCTTTCCTCCCCTCACTCAGTCCGGGCCACCATCCTCTCTCACCAAGATCTCTGTCCCAGTCTGTTCCCCAGATGGCAAGTCCCATCAGGGCCACAACCTGCTCATAAGATTTCGAGGCTCTTCGCCATCTAGAGCTGGGGTCCGGAGCCTGGGGCCCTTGGGTCCAATCCTCCCAGCTGCCCGTTTTAGTGAATAACATTTTACTGGAACACAGTCTTGCCTATGAATGCAGGCATTGCCCATTACTGCTTTACTGCTATTACGACAGAGTTGGATAGTTGCAACAGAGACACTGTGGCCTGCAAAGCCTAAAATATTTACTCTCTGGCTCTTTATAGAAATCATTTGCCAACCCCTGACCTAGAAGATAAAAACATGAAAAGCATTCCCTTTGTTTGGCCTGCAGGTGCTCTGTGAGCTATCCCCAGCCAGCATCTCTGAATTCATTTCCCTCAGGGAAGGCCCCTCCTGCCCACACTCATATATCATGCTTAAGCTGGATGAAACTCCTTGCAGCTGTCTCATACATACACAATGCGAACAGATGAGCACATCCTCTGTGCCTGGCCCTGCTAGGGCCTGTGCATGTATTATCTCATTTAAACCTATGGGGTAGGCACAGTTTAGCTCATGCTAGCATACTCTCCTGCCTCTGTGCCTTTCCCCACAATGTGCTTCCTGCCTGGAACTCTTGGCCTGCACCCTCACCCCTTTTCCCATCTGTTAAACTTCTATGCCTCTTTCAAATCTCAGAGCCCTGTCTCCTCCTCTGGGAAGCCCCCTGCCCTGAGCTCACACTCCCCTGTAGTCTGTCCCTATGCTATGGGAAAGACTTCTTTCTGCACTTCCCCCATCCCCAGATGGAGAGCCCCCAAAAGGCAGAAGCTGGGTTCTGCTCTTCCTGGGAGTCTGTCCCCAGTTCCAGCCTGGAGCCATATGTGGCACCTGCTTAGCTGGATTGGACATGTAAATGAACCAACTTTGCTGAGTGAGCAAACAATAGCGAAGACACCCCCTGCCCATTCATTCATTAACTCATTCATTCACCACTCATTTCCTGACCCTGCTGGGGGCAGGGCTGGGCAATAATGGGGCAAACGCCAGCCTGACACAGGTTAATATTCAGAGCAGGAAGGGGATCCAAGGTCAGAAAGAAGCTCTGGAGAGTGCAAGATGGTTCTAGCAAGTTGGCTTTTGGATTAGGGAGAGTCGACCTGTACCATAACTGGGGGCTGAGTCCTGGAGTCTGCCAGAGTAGGGGTGACACTTTGGGATGCACCACCTCTCCTCCTCATTCAGCCCTGATGAGCCGATGTGCTGCTCCCTCCCCATCACCCCAAGGAGGCAGTATGGCAGTGGAGGGGCTAGTACCTTGCTGTGCTGTTCCAGACAGCACAAACACCAACCCCGTGCCTAAGTATTCCCTGAGATGGGTTTTCTTCTGCCGCCTCTTCTGTCACCTCCCTGGCTGCAGTCCCGACTCAGAGACCCCTGTCAGCCTTCCTCTATTCTCTCTTCTGAGGGATGGGGACAGCCACCCATGGAGTGTCTGCAGTGCCTGCCCTTCACCCTGCCTGCAGGTGAGCCCAGAGGAAGGCGGGTGTGTGTGCATGAGAGGGGCATGGCACGAAGGCAGGGTAATCACAGGGTCTGCCCTACACACGGGCCCCAGAGGACAGGAAACGGAAGTAGAGTCTTCTCCTTGGAGGATCCCTGGCTTGACCCTCCAAGCCCTCAACCCCAGCCACCTCTCACCCTGGACTCTGACCCACTCCCTCCCAAAGCCAGGCTAGACCCTCCAGCGGGCCTCCGTGTGAAAGCTTGCATTTACTGTGAAAAATGAAAACATCACCTCACAAAGCACTCTGTCTTCCTGGCGCCCATTAAACCTCCATCTAGAATAAACTTGTCCTTTCTTCTGTCATTTTTCCTCTCTAATTCACATTATGGTCAATTTACTGCTTGACACAGTCATTCCCGGTTCTGCTTTCTCTCTAATCCCTTCACATCGGCCACAGGCACTCCTATTCTAATCCTAATTGACCGCAGCCGGCCTTTCTTCCTGCCGGGACCGCAGCCCCCTTGCCACCCTGGGGCCCTGGTGGGATGCTGAGTCACAGTTGCCCTGGCTGAGGGACATTCTCCCGAGAAGTCAAAGTGCCCCAGTCCTTCTGCTTCATCTCCTGGCATCGCTGATCCTCACCTTGGCCATTCCTGGGAAGGAGGCTTCAGCCAGGTTGGACGAGGTGTGGGCAGCACATGCGAGGGTGTGTGCGAGTGGGAGTGGGGATGTGAGCATGTGTCTGTGTGTGTATGTGCGTGTATGTGTGCATGTGTGTGTGAGTGTATCAGTGTGTGAGCGTGTGTGTGCCTGTGTGTGTGTGCGTGTGTGTGTGTGAGTGTATGAGTGTGAGCGTGCGTCTGTGTGTGTGTGCATGTGTGTGTGTAGGGTTCTCGCCTGTTCCACAGAGCGCACCAATCTAACAGGAGCACCAAGGGACCTCCGGACAGGTTTCCATGCCCTGGCGCCCTCCCCAGATGTCACGAATAACCCATCTAGGTCTACCTGCCCTGGGGTATTCTCTCAGGCCACGCTGAAGACACCGTGGGGCAGGGCGGGCCGGGAGAGGTGAACGGGCCTGGAGCTATTTGCAAGGCTGTGGGTTGGGGAGGCAGCAATCTCACCCATCTTCAGGAAGGTGGGATCACTGCTTCCTCTGCCCTGCACATCTCAAGAGAGCATGCATGCAGCTCCTGTTGGAATGAGGCTGCAGGGATGACTATCCTCAATTTACATCCGAGGCAACTGAGGCCCAGACCTGCCTAGGCTCCTCCAGGTTATAGACTTGGGCAGTGCAGGGACCATTTCTCATGTTTGTTTCTGGCCAATATCGTTTGTGCTCTTCCTGTGTTTGTAGAGATTCTGCAGTAGGAGGCCTGCTTCTTTGAGCCAGAAGTCAGAACTCATCCTTCCAGCTTCCCTTGCTGCTAGGGCACAGGTGTGTTTCATGGGCTCTGCCAATTAGACTTTCTTGTATATGACCTTGATTGAGAAGGTAGCCCCTTGAAGCAGTGGGCTGGGGGACTCCATCTGTTGGGAGTGGGTGGCAAAGGCATCCAGCTTTGGCTGGGGGCAGGACAGAGCTTCTGGTGCCCAGTTCCAAGCACCCCGGGAAAAGTTACAGTGGAGTGGAGCTGCAGGCTGGGTGCTGGCTGGCAGCAGGGCTGTTGATGCTAGTGCAACTCTAGTTGTGTGGTGGGTGTTGTCCTGGCTGTGTCCCATGCCTACCTCTTTTTGTCCTCCTGGAGATTCTAGGAGTCCCAAATATCCCTTAATAAATTCATTTTCTGCTTAAGCCAGTCAGAGTGGATTCTGTTGTTTGAAACTGAAAGTCTGACAGATACAGATAGTAACCTGCTTTCAAAGCTGGACCAGAGCCAGTCTCATCACTCACACACAGGTCTGAGTATTCAGGACTCAGGACTCCCAAGGCCTGTTTCTACAGAGGGGTGAGGCCTCTTTTCCTGGCTTGCTGTTGTTCAAACTGCGACTCAGTCAGGGAGAGTAGAGTACCACATCACATACTGGTTCCAGAAATAGGCTCTGGTGTCAGGGTGACCTGAATTTAAATCCTCCTTCTGCCACCTGAATGCTGTGTGACCTCAGGTGAATTAGTTCACCTTTCTGAGCCTCATTGTCCTCTTCCGTATAATAGAGATAATAATATGTGCTCTGTAGGGTTGCTGAGAGGACGACATCAGATAGCCCATGTAAAAAGGGTTTTGGGTGCCTGGTACAATTAGCAAGCGCTCATGTAGATGAATGGAGCTTTGCTTCCTTTTCCTCCTCTCCATGCTGTCTCTGGCCCCCTAAAGGTACTGAGCACTTCCCAGCCAGACACCCCTGCCTGAGGCTCCCACCCACAGCCTGTGAGCTCCCTGGGACAGAGTGTGCATCTTTTCCACAACAGGCACACAGCCCAAGCCTAACAATTGGGGCTGTGAACTAGATTTCACTCCAGCTTGAGTAGCAAAAGCCTTGGATGTAGTCTAGTCCTGCCCTCCCCTCCCTATCTCCTCAGACCTACACAGTCAGGTCCAAACTCCCCAGCCTGGCCTTCAAGGGGCCACTCTGCACACTCCACAGATAGCCCCACCTCCTACACCAAGCCTTTGCCACACGTGCCTGAGAAGTTTCTTCTAATTTCTCTGCTTCTTGAATTCCCAGGCAAATAAATGACAGCCACTATCAACCTCTAGGAACCTTGTAAAAATGAGAAAAATGTGTCCCTTTTGAGAAGGTGCAGCCCCGTGCCAGGGCTCAGGGTTTTGTGCCATGCATGGGCTGGGGTTCAGCTCCCACTTGTCCCCTTGGGCAGTGCAGTCATGTGTGGCAGCCCTGGGCCACTATGGCCTCCTTGGGGTCACCTCTCCATCAGAAGGAACCTCTCCCACAGGCCAGTGTCCAGGTCTCCTGTGTGCCATATCCCCTGGGGTCTCCCAGCAGGACTGGGATCAGGCCTCTGCCTGAGGCAGATTTCCTGGGAAGGACTCCCAGGTTTGGGCCTCAAGACTCATCTCCCTACCCCCACCCCTGCTGGAAGACACTGGTTCAGGGAGCCCACAGCCAGCCCATGCCTCCTGTTTCCTAAGACAGACGTCTGGGTCAACTCAAATAGTCCATTTAAGAAAAAAACATTAGGTAAGCGGATATCTTGGTTCGATACTTAGAACTAATTTTGACCAAAACCAAAAAAGGAGTCTGAGAAGAGATCAATCTGCAGATTCTGCCCCTCTTGGAGACCACAGATAATAAGAAGCTAGGAGTCTTCTGCAAGGCTTGCAATCTCCTTGCACAGGGACCTGCAGCACTAATGGGAATTGTTTCTTATTGAATCCCCAAGTCATGCATGACACACCAAAATCCTTTGGACAGCCCAAGGTCCCAAGAGCATGGAATGGTAGTAGCAAGAGAGAAGTGGTTTCCATACTGTGTGTCTGTCCTAGCCACCAAATCAGGTTTGGGAAGGGGTCAAGGCTGAGATTACATGGCCTTTTTCACAGACCTATGGTTTGGCAACTTGAGTTTGAAGACACCAGGTTATGGCTTTTCTGATGAAGCCTGTTTCTCAGTCCCAAAATAATTAAGGATCCAAGGAATTAAAAGGTTCTTCCTTAAGGAGGCCTTGTTAAGCTGGGCAGATAAACCTGGGTGGTCTCAGAGGGCCCTTCCATGTCTGACCTTTTACTGCTCGAAGTAGAAAATTCTTAGCTGACTGCTGGGGGAGGGCTCCATGTTGCTATCTGCAGGCTGATTGGCTGGCTCCACCTCCCAGATGGTGAGTGACATCTTTGAGCCCATGCCTCTACTTCATGTCCCAGAACCTTTAGCTCCAACTGGCACTCACTAGCTGGTTTCATGTAAGGTCAGTCCAACAAAACAGAGGGCTCCCCTTGGCCTTTTGAAAGCTGAGTTAGACTTGCATGGTCTTTGCGGTGGCCCAAATCTTGATGATGTTCACAGATCAGACTGCCACCAGTCACGGACAATCTGCCAATCCAAGGCTTGGGCAGAGGGTGGGCACCAGCTGAGCCCTAAATGGCATGCTTTGTCAGACCTCCAGCCACAGGCAACCAGGTTCTAACAGAGCCGGCTCTGGTGATGTCCATGCAGACATCACTAATCAATCACTGGGCATCAGGGTCTTTATCAAGGTGGTCTCCAGGCAGCCACTACCAATCGATTCAAGTTGGTATCTTTACTGACACTTATTTAGAGAGTTCTCGCCTGAATATGTCATTATGCTTAAGAAATACAAGTTACTCACAGGTAGGCACTTTTCCTACCTTCCTCTTTCTCCTTCAATGCCCCTTTTTTCCTCTGTTTCCCTTCTGTGCCATTTTTCCTAACCCACCAAAGCATCTGGGGGAGGGAGGAGGGCATGAGCAGGGCTGGAGCACTATTTACTGCCCTAAGGCCCCCATGAAAACACCTGTGCTCCATGTGTCTGGGCAAGCTACCCACCCACCTCAGTGACCAGACCTCAGGATGTCGAGGGACCCAGGCCAGTGAGGAGGCCTGGATGGGGTAGCTGATGGCCCAAGGGCCCCGCAGGGCCTCCGCCAGTACTCACCAAGCAGCCCCGGGTTGGGGAACCTCCAGGAGTCGTTGTACGAGGAATACTGAGGGTGGCTGTAGGGACTCCCGGAAAACTCACTCCCTGTGTATGGTGGGTGGAGAGAGAAACAGGAACCAAACGTCAAATCCAGTTCAGAAAAGGCCCTGGGTCCCAGCCAGCCTGGTTGCCAATGGCATTTGCCTCTTCCGTGAGTTGCAGGCGCTTTTGTAACCAACAAAAGCAAGTCAGGTCCACATCATTATGGAGTGGGCAGCTGTCACTGGCATTGTCTGTATTTCCCCTCCTTATCAGTGGGAGTGAATGGCAGACTCTCACATGTGTACCATGGAACTCCCATGTCGTTCTGTGGCCCCATGTGCCAGATGTTCCTTGGGGTCATTGGCTCATTTTACATATGAGAAGGCTGATGCCCAGGTCGTCTCACAAAATGGTCTTGATACACCTTGCTAAGTTCAAGGCTGCAGACTGCTTGGTTCTCATCCCTGAGTGAAGCCAATCCAGGACCCCAGAATGGGCTCAGTTCTACCCCCCACCTGCTGATGAGTGGCTCTGGACAGAGAAGCCAAAGGTAACCTCAACCCTAGCCTGGCCCTCTGTGCTGTGAAGGCAGGGGTGGCTGTCCCTGGGGCCTCAGTCTCGTCAGGGAGATGAGACATAAACCCAGGCCCTCTGCCTGGAGGAGGCAGACAGAACTGTGCTGAAATGAAACAACAAGCCAAAGGGCTAGGGGAGCACAGAAGAGGGAGTGGTTGGGGCCTTCTGGCCACTGGGGAGGGGGCAGCTGTTGGCAGCTGTGGGCGTGCTTGGGCAGGAGCTGTGAGGTGTGCCAGGGTGTGATGAGCATTGTGGGGCATGGTGGGACCCGAACATGGTTCACTCAGGCCAGGTGCTCATGGAGCAGTAATACCTGCCTCTGGCACTTCCCTGGGCTCTGGGTGCCCGTCCCAGGAGAGCCTCTTTACTACTGGCCAGGTCACTAGGAGGAGAGTTCACAATTCTGTCCCTTACCACCTTGCTGCCTTGGTCTTGTAGCTGGCAGGGCCTGCCTGTCTTCCCCCATGGCTATAGGGGATCCCAAAGAGTAGGCTTCAGCCTGGACTCATCGCCAGGTGCCCAGTACCCGGCAGACTGTATTCAGTAGAGGCCCTGGAACAGGGCATGGAAAGCTGGCTGCTGCTGGGTACAGAGCATGGGAGCCCTTCCCTACTGGAGGTGACAGGAGTTACATAGCCCCATGAGCCCACTCGTGGCCCAAGCCTGCCTCCACGATCCCCTACAAGGATGCTTACAAAGGGCCGAAGGGTGAGAGATTCCAGAACGGGCCAGCCAGAACCCGGGACCAAGAGCCTGCTCTCTCTCCTACAACCCAAGCCTAGAGGTGGGCCCCTGGGGATCTGCCAGGTGGGGCAGGAATAATGAGGCAGGACTGAGGGGCCAGCCACTCCCACCTCCTAGGTCTAGCTGGCTTCCCCCGCACCTCACAACCACAGGCAGAGCGTGTCCACACACACACACACACACACACACACACACATGCTCGCGCTCCTCCTCGGGCCTCTCTGGGGGCCACTCCCAGCCTGACAGGCTGAGCCTTCCAATTCTCTGTTTTTTATGCCTCAGTGGTCAGGGTGTCAGGTTCTGGCATGCAGAGGGAGAGCCCGATGACAGTGGGCTGCAGCCGCCCGGCTCCGGCATATCCATCAGCACCACGGAGCCTCCTCCTCCTCAGGTGGGGGAGTAGAGACACAGCGCAGCCTGGAGAACAGGGACAGCGCCCTCCCCTCGGGACTCTGAGCACCCGTGGACCTGCCCTATCAGAGGCACTTCTTGACAATGCCGAGCCCAGGGCATTGGGCTACTGTGGCAGAGGCCACCTCTGCATCTTTGTTTAGCGTCGCCTCTGCTGCCTGGCCCAGCTTCAAGGCCACTTCTTCCAGGAAGCCTCCCAGATCTCCAGCCCCACAAAGTGCAAGTCTCAGGTCCATCTGGCTGGAGTTAGTTCATTGTGGACATATTATCCATCCCCAGATTGGCTTTGGCTCCTGCAAAGGGCCATAAACAGCTCCCAATTCCTTCATAGGATGTGCCTAAGTCAGTGTCACCCACCATCCTCTACCCTGTCCCCACCTTTCTAGCCTTACAGTGGTGAATGTAGAGGTCCTTGGCTACCTTTTCCTCTGGGAAGCCCCTCTCCCACCCCTCCTCTTCCGATCCCAGTCTCCCGTGTGGTTCTGCAGCACTGGCTTTGCCCTGACCTGCAGGGGAATCCGTTGTACGTGGGCATGCTTGGCCCTGCAGGTCCGTTGGATTCCTCTCTGCACCTGTGTGCCACCCTCACCCCAGCTTGGTGCCCAGTCCACAGCAGACAATGAGTGTCTGAACAATTCCTGGTTGCTCACCAGCTCTCTGTAGCATGGGGAAGCCTTCCCTGATCACTGTGTTTAAAAGGGAAGTTCCTTCCACCCCATCTCTCTTTCCTGCTTTTTTTTCTCCATAGAGCTGATCACAATCCAACCTGTCTTGTTTATCCTGCTTATCTTATTATAATCTGCCTCTTCCACTAGGATGTAAGCTCCATGGGGGCAGGGAGTTTTGTCTGTTCACGTGTTGATCCCAACCTCTAGCACAGGGCCTGGCCTCTAGTAGGCAGGAATAATTATTTGTTGAATGAATGAATGAACGAATGAGACTCCTAGGTCAACCAGGCACACGCTTCCAGAGCAGACTCTCTAACTCAGGCGACAGCTCTCACGGCCTCCGTTATTAGCACCCACAGCCAGGGGTGTGTTGGACACCTGCTATGTGCCAGGATCCAAACCAATTTCTCCTATTCCATTGCCCACCACACCATCCTGCCCCTTGGTGGGAGAAATGAGCCTACCAGGGACTGGCTTGCCTGGTGTGCTAAGAGTGGTAGTGTGGTGGGCACCCCCAACATGGGGCCCCTGCCCTATGAGAGCAATACGCTCTGGGTAAGGGGCGTTTGACCATGTACGGGTCGTGAGGCTGACCTAGAGGCTGGTTCAGCCACCTGCTGGGGACTCTGGGATGGTGTCTGATTATCTGAAGTGCCACACAAGAAGCTGTCTGAGTGTAGGGAGCCCTCACCCCATGAGATCCGGAGAAGCTAGGTCCTTAGTCAACAGTCCAGAGAAGGCCTGGGAACACTTTCTGGGAGTGGAAGCGACCACGTGAACCAGGACTTGAAGGGTGGGTAGGACTTTGATGGCAGAGAGAGGCGGGCATTCCAGGCACAAGCAAAGGCCCGGCAGTGGGGCTGGGCAGAACGTGGCCCCTGCATGGCCAGGTCTTCCGTGAGGCCCCGCAGAGGCAGCTGCAGGGCAGAGCAGGCGTGGGGCAAGAGTGTAATGCTTTTCTCTCATTAGGGCTGGGATCAGCCAAGGCTTCAGACTGGTGAGTGCCAGAATCTGGAGGACAGGCTGGAGGAGGACAGCTTGCAGTCAGGGGGCCCCTCCAGGTGGCTGTGGCCACAGTCTAAGCAAGAGGGACTGGACCTGGGAGATGACACAGCAGTGGCATCCTTAGGCACAAAATGATGTTCCTCATGTGCAGGAAGGACATTCTTGGGGAAGGAAATGAAAGCCCCTGCTTCTGTCTTTTGTTGCGGCCTCCGGAGGTGCAGCCAACAGGCCCAAGACAAAGTTCCCACAATGAACCCCTTTCAGATGACCGTGCCCAGCACAAGGGACACCACGGGCCCTTCGCCTCCTTCTAACTGACCCACACTTTTGGCATCTCTCAAAAATACTAACCCCTGGAATTGGGAAACTTTTCTTTACGTATTCATAGAAAAGCTGCTGTGAGTTCTGGTAGGTGCCAGCTTACATCGGAGTGGCTGTCCCTCAGTGGGCAGTGAGACCCGCCTCTGGGAGACACACAGCACATGGCCATTCTCAGAGGTGGTTCCTGGCGCTCTCTGGAGTTGGTCACATGGAAACCCCTAAGAACTCTTTCAACAACAAAACACGTGCCTCCAACTTCTCCATCGGCATTCCCCCAGGAGCAAGCAGTCCCGGGGAGAAAACAGGACTGGACCCAAAGCCTCATGGGACTGGGCCTGCAGTTGGCACTGTAAACTGGGCCCCAAAATGGTGCTGTGGGGGCAGAAGGCAGGTGGGCATGTGGTGGACACAGGCATTCCTGCGGCGGGGCTGAAAGCACGCTCTGCCATCAGGCCATCTGCTCACTGGTTTTGTGGCCTTGGGCAAGCGATTGAACCTTCCAGGCAGAGCCTCCTCATCTTGAATATGGGCAAAATAAAAGCACCTACATCATAGGATTGGCAAGAAGTAAGTGAAAGAATGTTACTGGAAGAACAAAACTACCTTTTCCCCAGGCCAAGGGGACTGGGGATGTTGGGTGGAGATGGAAGAAGAAAGAGCCTCCTCTGAAAACTAACTGAGGCCCTAAACGTAATTTGATAGCTTTCGGTGGGGCTGGGGGTAGAAGAACATTGAAGAAGTGGGGTGCCCAAGTTCCCATTTTCAGTTGTCTGTTGGGTGTTTAATCTACCTCTGCCATTTCTGCTCACTCACACTCAAATGCCTTGGATGGCCGGGTTGGTGTTTTCTCCCCACATGGAAATCAGAGGAAGGAGCCAGCGGGATTGAGATGAAAGAAAGTGGCTGAAGAATGTCCCGAGAAGCCTGAGCCTGAGGTGAGCATGGGAAAGTGAGCCTCCACCTGGAAATGGGGCAGAAATCTTAAGGAGAACATAGGATTTTCCCACTAGGTGGCAAATGAGGGTTTGAATCAATTTTACCTTGATTTCAAAGTGCCAGGTGATGCTGGCCAGCTGTTGGGATTATTGGAATCAGAGAAAGGCATGGTGGGGCCAGAGGAGGCAACTGCATGAGCAAAGGCAGGGAGGAGGGGCAGGCAGATGGCCCACGATGGGATTCCAGGGCATCCGGGCTGATCCCCCTTCTCTGATCCCCCTTCTCTAGCTGCTGTTGACAGAATTAAGAACAGAGGGCTGGTCCCCTTCTAGGCCATGCTCCAGGCCACACCCAAGGTGTGCTCTGCTCTCTGCTGTTGCCCAGAGCTGCCCACATTGGAGGAGAAGACAGAAAATGGCCTTTGAAGTCACACAGACCCAAGCTCCAGGCCGGCTCTTCCTCTTCCAAGCTGTGTGGCTTTGGGTACATGCATTCACCTGTTGAGTCTCAGTTTCTTCATCTATAAAATGGAGGGAAGGAAAATCCCTACTTGTTAAGCTTATGGAGAAGATCAAATGACTTCACGTTTGCAGATGCTCTTTGCAAACCCCTGTGTGGTGGGGACTAGGTACCTTCTCTCATTGAGAGAGAACAAACTCAGAAATTCTGCCCCCACCCAAGCCCTCTGATCCCAGCTCCTCCCCCTGCCCCTTCACCCTTTGATCCTGGGCAGGTGGGAAGAGGAAACCCAGTGACAGAAAGAAATACAGAGCTGTGGAAGTGACAGAACCGGAAGGGATTGGTGAGATCCACATACTCAACATGCCCTTGTGTCGCAGATTGGGAAACTGAGTCTCAGAAAGGAGAAGGGACTTGGCAGAGGCCCAGCACATGCAGTCCCTCAGAGGCCAGGTAGACAGGAGGGGAGGGCTGCGTGGGAACTGTCTGGAAGGTAGCCTTCGGAGGAAAAAAATGACGGCGAGACTAGAAACAGAACGCTGGCAGTCAAGGAGCAGCTCCGAGGCCATGGCACCTCACCCTCACAATAACCCTGGTGAGGAGGACGCGGAGCAGAGGAGCCCGGGCTGGGGCAGAAGGAACGTGGCTTCCCACTGGGCATCTCAAGGCTGACAGTCCCTCCCGGCATTCTGCCTAACCCCGAGCAATGCACTTCTTCCTCCCTTCACGCAACAAATTCATCTTATGTTGAAACTTACCAACCTGTGCCATCACTCATAGTCACAGATGATCAGGCCTGGGATGAACTTTAGAGATACGTTCCCTCAACCTTTCCATCCCCAGGGTCTTCTAGCCAGTCAGGAACAGAGCAGGGCCTGGGACCCTGGCCTATATTCCCAGACCCCAGGGATCCCACCATCCCAAGGAACACCTCGTTGAGCTGGGCCAGCAGAGGAAAGGGAAATCTTCTCATCACATCCTTCTTCACCCCTGATGTATTTGAAACTTTTCAAGCATACAGCAAAGTTGAAAGAATGTTATAGTGAACACCTATGTAGCCACCTCCTAATTCTACCATCAATGTTTTCTTATGCTTGCTTGTCATATCGATCTTCATCCCTCTAGCCTTTCTTTCACCTTAATGTGTATTTCATTTCCAAGTAAATGCAAACATCAGTACACTTTCCCCTAAGTACTTCAGCATGCATACAATTAACTGAAGTTCATTACTTGTTTACTAGTTTTTTCTTTGGATACAAAATTTACACATAATGAAACACACAAATCTTAAATGTGCTATTGCTGTGTTTTGACAAATGCATAGATCTGTGTGACCCAAACCCCTACCAAGATATATTAATAGAACATTGTCAACAGCACAGAGAGAAAATTCTCTCATACTGAAGAAGGGGGCCTATTGACCAACCGAGAACCCAGCTATCTGGGGATGTAACTGAGTCATCCCTCCATGAACATAGAGCTCTGAGGTTAGCACTGACAGCCCCAAACCCCAATGGGTGAAAGAGCCCCTGACCTGCAAATTCAAAGTTTCTCCAAAGCCATTACACAGAACAAAGCTAGAGGAATGTATGCTGTTTCCTCAAAGACACAGAGAGAAAGCAGAGCCTTAAGAAATTTCAGACAAATGGTGGGTTTCCCCCAAACAGTACTGTCTTCCAATATAGAAGACGTGACTGTAAAAACCAATGCACTAACTAGAGAACACTGATTAAAATAAAAAGTTTAAAAAGGGGTTATGATAAGATGCACTTAATGCAGCTGTCCTGGAGATCCCAGAGGCAGAAACATCACCAGATTCAGAGGTGTTTTCAGCTTCCCCTTCGCTCAAAGCTCAGAGATGGCAAGAAAGTCAAAGTTTCCTAAAATTCTCAGAAGTGACAGGTAAACGGGCTCAGTATAGCTCTTAATTAACCCAAAACGACACCTGCCAGATGACGGGGATTTGCAGAGCGCACTGGGGGCCGACCCCGTCTGCAGATGGTGGGCTCCCACCTCTGCTCCAGACCTTGGCCGGCTGCAATTAACATATGGAAAGTCTTTCAAAGTGACTTCGCAGCCAAGTTCTGTTTCTGAAGGATTCAAACTGGGCTTAGAGAAAATCTTTGCAGAGGAGGAGGAGGAAGAAACGATTTGAAAAGGACCATGAGGTTTCTTCAGCTCCTCTCCATGGCTTTGCAGAACTGCATGAAATGCCTGGTGGCTCAGGGATCGGCGGCTACCCGGGATGTTGCGGGACCAAACTGTTGACGACCAGAGTGAGCGCAGGCACGGCATCACACGTAGCCACAGCCAGGCTTTCATAATACACATGTATAGACACTCCCGATATACACGTACACATGCATATAATGTATCTGTGTATGTATACGTAATAATATGTATAATATTTATAATATACAGATGTATGTATGTTGGATGTGTACACACACACATACACACACACTGGATTCTGGAGCTGTGTCAAAGCCTCTTAGAGTGACCTTGGACAAGTCATTTCTCACCAAGTCTCAGTTTTCTCATCTGTAAAAGTGGTGTGTTTGGAAGAAATTGAAATAAGTGACCTCCAAGGGCTTTCAGCTCTCAGAAGCTGTCTTCACTGCACCCACGCCAAGCCTCTCCCCCTCGCAGGCCAAGGCTTCTCACCGTTCCTCTCTCCACAGCAAGACCTTCCTGGGCTCCCAACAGGGAGATGAAAACCTGAGCTCAGTAAAGGTCAGCCTGTCGGCCCCGACAGCCGTGCATCGATCCATTGCTGGGAAAAACCTCTCTCCCACCAGCTCAGGCCAGCCACGAGGGCCTTCAGAAAAACAGAGGGAAGAGAAAAACCGAGAGAGAGGGTGAGCATGAGGGGCAGAATGCACAATGTGTCTCACTTCTGTTTCTCCCGAGAGCCGCGGACCCCACAGCTGGACGGCAGGCCTGGGTGAGCCCCAGGGAGCCTGGCGTGGAGGCCAGGACTCTGCCACCTGCCAGCTGTGCGGTGGCCAAGTGGCCTTTCTGGGCCTCAGTGTGATCCTCTGTAAAGAAGAGGCTGTTGTGTCCCCTTCCTGTTGTCTACAACTACAAAAACCCAAATCCAAGGATCCTCTAGGGAATTCAGTGGAAACAAACTCCACTGCGGCATCACGGTGCCTCTGCCACAGGGCACAGGTCCGACTCCACCAGCTGGCCATCCATCACAGGCAAGAGCTGGGGGCCTCGAGACACATGGGGCCAGGAGGAAACAATTGATCGGCTCCTGGTGTTTGAAAGGGGCAAGTATCAGTAGCCACAGGACTTCCATCTATCTAGATCTGTTGTACTTGCCTCCAAGGCTGACCTTTCTTTCTGTAACCTGCCTGGCCCCTGCAGGCATTTCCATTTGAGATCCCTGGCTATGCCATGGCACATTTTGAACAACACTGGTCCAAGTTTAATCCATTCTGCTGCTGTGGTCCTATTCCAAAATTCTGTCCTGTCCTGCCCTCATCTAAGCAAACAATGGGCATGTACAAATGACCCCCCTGAAGCCTCACTAGGGTGCAAGATAACACCTGATTTGTGTGCATGCGTGAGGTGGGGAGGGGGGTACTGCAGTGCCCTGTGCTGGGAGTGCCCACAGGTAGCACTTTGTGAAGATCAACACCCCAGACGCCGCCTGGTGGCGGTCAAGGCCCTTCAGGGGCTGGTTCCCATGGAGCTTCTCAGCCACACCTCCCACTGCCCACATCCTCCACTCCACCCCTACCCGCCACAAGCCATATTCCAGGCCAACCACACCACCAGTTGTTCTGCACACCTACTCCACGGGGCCGTTTCCATCTCTCATGCTGTTTCCTTCATCCCAAACACCACCTTCCTTCCCTTCCTCATGTCCAATTCTCCTATTTGTCAAGACCCAGCTCAAATACCACCTCCTCCAGGAAGGCTTTCTGGATTAATCATCCCAGCTGAGAGCAGTCCCCCACTGGTCCCTGAGTCCCCAGCCCTGGGTCTATCACTGCCCATGTCCCAGGGCACACAGATTCAGGGCTGTCTGTGACCCTGTCTTGTTTCCCCTGCTGTTGGGTCTGGCTTCTCCTCAATGGCAGGAACCAAGGCTGACCATCTGTGACTGACAGGTCCCTGCAGCCCCACCCCCAGCACAGGGCTTGCCCACAATACCAATGCAGACTGAGTGAGCACTAAGTGTGCCCAGCAGATGTTCCTTGAGCCAGCCCCTTTCAGAGTCAGAACAGAAAAGGTCGTGAAATCCATGCTGGAAAGAATTAGTGAAACACCAGTCCCGATCTTTGCTAGAAACATGGAGACAGCAAGGCAGAGAAAGGGAATAAAACACACAAAGAGAAGTGGGCTGTGTTTACTGCAGAAACCACCGTGCAGGTCCCATGAGTGAAAAGGGACACTGGTGCTCTCCTGAGCGGCTTAGCTCCCACCTGCAGGCCTCAGTAGGCCTCCCCTGCCACATAATGACAGCACTCAGTTCGGCTCACTTCAAAAGAGTGCAAAAGTACAAGCTAAAATAAAGAGACACAAATTTTCGTCTTTCTTTTTTCCTCTTTTTTTTTTTAGGCGGAGTCTCGCCCTGTCGCCCAGGCTGGAGTGCAGTGGTGCAATCTCGGCTCACTGCAAGCTCTGCCTCCCAGGTTCACGCCATTCTCCTGCCTCAGCCTCCTCAGCAGCTGGGACTACGGGTTCACGCCTCCACACCTGGCTAATTTTTTGTATTTTTAGCAGAGATGGGGTTTCACCATGTTAGCCAGGATGGTCTTGATCTCCTGACCTTGAAAATACACAAATTTTCTAAAGGGAGAAGCAAAAAAAGAGCAGTACCAGACTGAAGCCGGATTACAAAGATAGGAAGGCTCTAGGTTTTGTCCTTAGCACCTTTTCTCTGCATCCATTTGGCCACTGGCAGATGCTTGGCCTGGAAACCCGAAGAGTCTCTTTGAACGTCTAGAATGTTGCCAGAAGCCCCCATCCCAGGGCCTAACCCACTTGGCCCCAGGTTCTGCAGAGTTGAGTAGGAATAACATTGAACTACATTCCCAGGAAAATCCAACTCATGTATTCATGATAAGTGTCAAATAAACTCACTAGGTTCTCGTGTGTCTAGCCTCAACTGGGTTTGTTCAGGCAGTCATACACACTTCCCATGGGTCTACCTGGAGCAACTTCAGAGTTGGAATGAATGATTTAAAAGGTAGGGCATGGTAGAAAGTAACATCTCTCCCCAAGTTTCTAAAGTTCTTCACTGTCCTCCTATACTAAATTTGGGGAAAACTTATCTTAAGCTTTGACTTGGGGACTATGTTTCACTTTTAGACTCCTATACTGGTGATGCTGTGTATTTTGGTAACTCCATTTAATTCAGCATCCACTGTGGTCCTACTCCATTCAGAGCTCAGAGCTAGGCCCCCAGTAAGGCATACTCAGTGAAATGCGCCTAGGCTTCAATCCTCAGGGAACTGCCTGCATTAAAGGGGATTCTTAGACCCAAAACTAGACATTCGGGTGCCAGCAAAAGGCAAGATGGATTCAGAAGCAGAGTAGAAATGGAACTTCATACTAGCTAGGGTATCCAGGAAAGCTTCCTGTAAGAAGTGGCTGCAATGTGGGCTTGAGGACATTCAAATGTTGTCATTTAGTGGGTACCGAAATCTGTCCCATCACCTGCCAGCCCAGGCTGCATTGTTGAGTCAAAGTGTACTGCCTCTGTCCCCAGGGAAGGGAGTCCTCACTTTCTTTCAAGAAAGAGGCCAGTAAGCAGGACGCACACGGTGCTGACATGGAATGGGCCACAAAGACACGACTGTCCTTGCTTTCAACTCCCCAACAAGGCAGCTGAGAATGTAGGATACTGGCCGATAAACCCAAGGCTCCTGACAGCTCTGAACCACGTCATGGTTTTTGTAAATAATTGTAGAAAGGGGAGCGCTGATTTTCTGCACAGGCATTGAGGGCAGGAGTGGCTGCCACTCCATGTTGGTAACTGGGAGGTGGTGGAAAGCCCCTGGGTGTGCAGCCAGTCAGTCCTGGCCAAAGCCCAGCAGCCACTTAGCTGGGCAGCCTCGAAGAAGTCTCCTGAATCTCTGAGTCTGAGTTCCTAATTTGCAGTATGGTAATTACAACACTCAGAGGACTAAATATTGATGCATTTCAAAGTCCTTTGTGAATTGAAAAGTATTATACAAATGTGAGGAGCTATTTGATACTTAGCTCAATCCTTGGCACACAGCACATGCTTTGTGTGTCTATTGCAAAAACAGATACATTGGGACTTTTTTTTGAGCAAAATTATATTTCAGGATGTTTTTCTCATATTTCAACAAATGCCTAAAATTCTTGATTGTAAGGAAAGCCTCAAACTAGGAGTCCAAGTCCCTGATCTTCCGTCTCTACCCATCCCTTCCAGGTTCACTTAGCCTCAGTTTCCCCAAATGGACAATGGCAGGGTGGGAAACAGACAAGATTGGTTTCCAGTCTTTCTGCCACTAAGGAATAGTTTTCCTCCCCCCAGTTTCTGCCCAAATGACTCTTTGCTTGTTAAAATTATGAATCCAATCCCATACCTTTTAAAAATGTTCTATGAGGCTTTTTCTGTGTTTGGGCAAATAGATAATTTCCACAAGACTGACTGGAAAGCTAAAACCAGCCCCCAGCCTCTATTACTGGCTCCCAGCCTCCAAAAATGGCCCAGCCCCCTCCAGCTTGGAGACCCTCAAACCTCCTGGCACATTCCCAAGGCCTTCAGGAACTCCTTCGCTCAGCCCAAAGCTGACTTACTTTCCTGCGGCCCAGACCTTGGCCTGTCCCTCAGAGCAGCCAGGGGTCCTCCTTGGAAGAAATCACCTCCCCTGGCTCTGCTGGGCTCAGCGCTGAGGCCTGAATGTCCCGCCGCTGACTAATGAGACGGAGGGTGAAGGTGTCATACCTTGCTGGGAAGTCGCAGTGCTAGTCCCGACCTGCGCTGCCTGCCATCAAATTTTAATGCTTCTGCTGACATATTTATGGAATGCCTCACCAAGTGTCTGCGAGGAGACCAGACAAGATTTACCTCCACAATTACTACCAGGACGCTCGGGGTTCACTGTGTGCTGAGAACTCAGCAGCACAGAGGCCCCGATTTCCCCTGCACCCCGAGGAGCGCGCTCAATTCTGCACACCCTTCCTGCCCCCGGCAAGCCAGGCCTGGGGCTGGAAGAGGCGGAGATGAATCAGACACGGTCCCTGCCCACGGAGAGCCCACAGTCTGCGGGAGGGGCAGGCGCGCACATAAATTACTTGCAACCCTGGGAGGCTGGGGCCAGTGTGTTTGTACAGGTATGAAAGCCGGGCCGGGCTGAAGTAGGGAAGGGAGAGTTATTTCTCCTAACAGAGTCAGGGTCAAGGAAGAAGCCAAAGACCCAGGCTGGACCACCCAGCTGCTTCGGCTCTCCTGGTCACTCCTCTGGCTGAAAAAGCTCCCAGGGCCTCTCCCTCCCTCCCCCTGCCAGCCTCAGGGTCTCAGTGGCCCCTCTCCTTCAGCGTCTGCACCCGACATTCATTCCTTTGGGGTTCTCTCTCCCAAGGCTGACTGAGAGTGGGATGTGCCCCCTCCTCCCTCCCCGGCTCCTCACCCTTCCTCACTGTGTCCGCAAATTCCTGTAAGTTTTACTGCTCTCCTACAGCAAAGCTGCCCTGAGGGGAGGTGGAGGCGGGCAGGAATAATGCAGTGACCCAGGCCAGTGGCTGTCAAGCCTTGCTGCACATTAAGAATCATCTGGGGCTGGGTGTAGTGGTTCACACCTGTAATCCCAGCACTTTGGGAGGCCGAGGTAGGTGGATCACGAGGTCAGGAGATCGAGACCATCCTGGCTAACACGGTGAAACCCCACCTCTACTAAAAATACAAAAAAATTAGCCAGGCATGGTGGTGGGCACCTGTAGTCCCAGCTACTCAGGAGGCTGAGGCAGGAGAATGGTGTGAACCCGGGAGGTGGAGCTTGCAGTTAGCTGAGATCACGCCACTGCACTCAAGCCTGGGTGACAGAGTGAGGCTCTGTCTCAAAAAAAAAAAAATCATCTGGGGGCCGGGCATAGTGGCTCACACCTGTAATTCCAGCATTCTGGGAGGCTGAGGCGGGTAGATCACGAGGTCAGGAGTTCGAGACCAGCCTGACCAACATGGTGAAATCCTATCTCTACTAAAAATAGAAAAATTAGCCGGGCGTGGTGGCACATGCCTGTAATCCCAGCTACTCAGGAGGCTGAGGGAGGAGAATCACTTGAACCCAGGAGGCAGAAGTTGCAGTGAGCCAAGATTGCACCACTGCACTCCAGCCTGGGTGACAGAGCAAGACTGTCTCAAAAAAGAAAAAAAAATCATCTGGGAAGCTTTAAAAATCCAGATGACCAGGCCATATCTCATACTAGTTCACAGGGAGCTCGGAGTAAGCGGGGGGAGGCAGATGGTAATATTTGTCGAAACTTCCAAGGTGACGCCAATGTACAGCAAGTTTGAGAGACAGGGGGCAGGGACTCGGTACTCAGTGTGCAGCATGTTAGAGGACAAGCCTCCTGCACCCACCCTCAACTCTATGAAGCAGAATCTGCTCTCTGAGATGATCCCTGATGATTTGGGTGCAATAAAGCTTGAGAAGCACTGATCCTTGTTAAAGAGTTTCGCTAGCGTCCTCAGAGGCATGCTGGTGTCCAGTTCCCACGGCCTCTGAAATGGGGCCCCTAAGGAGACTGGCTTCTAAGCAGGCAGCCACCATAAGCTAACCACTGAGAAGGGCTGGCTTCTATGGGAGACTCCAGGCAGGCCACAAGGCAGCCGCCACCATGACTCAGTGAGCTTGACAGGGCCATTCCATGGAGGGAGCTGAATTAGGATGACCCTCACAGCTCCCAAGGCTGGACCAGAAGGCAGGAGCCCCATGCAGTCCTGTGCTGATGAAGACCCATTTTTTTCTAGGAGATTTACACTTTCATATGTATCCCCTGTGACCAGCCCACACACCTGGCTGAGAGATGGCTCTGCAGGGAGGGAGTCAGCAGGAGGGGAGGGGAGGGAAGAGGAGGGGAGGAAAGATATCTTGGGAGGCCAAGGAAAGATAAGTGAAGAAACCACCTAAGAGGGCAAATGCAGGGCTCAGTGGGAGGGGCCCAGAGATGTCCTGAGGAGCCCTGGTGGCATCTGCCTTGACACCAGGTCCACTGCAGACAGTCGCAATTTCATCCATCCATTCATCTATCAGATATTGAGTGAGGGCCTACTAGGTACCAGGCCCACTGCAGACAGTCGCAATTTCATCCATCCATTCATCTATCAGATACTGATTGAGGGCCTACTAGGTACCAGGTCCTGAGGATATAGCCCTGAACAAAGCAGATAACAGTCCCTGCCCTCATGGAGCTTATATTCCAGTGGTACAAACAAAACAGTAAACCAGACAAGTAAAAACAAAGCGTCCGGCATGCTAGATAATGATGGGTGCTAAAGAGAAAACATGAAGCAGGAGACAGAATAAGAAATATTGGGAGGAGGTGGAATTTTAGATGGAGTGACCGGGGATGACTCCACTGAAAAGGTGACTTTTGAAGAAAGAATGAAGGTAGCAAGAGTTTGCCATATGAATATCTGTGGGAAGGGCCCTCTAAGCAGAAGGAACAGCAAGTGCAAAGGCCCTGGGGCAGGAGTGTGGGAGGTGTGTGGCTAGGACAGCCAGGAGGCCTATGTGGCTGGAGAGAAGCCAGGGTGGGGAGAGGGGAGAGAAGGCCAGGGAGGGAAGTGGGGAGTGGGAGATAGGTCAGGACTTTGGCCTCTACTCTGAGTGTGCACAGGAGGGACGTGTCCTGACTCCAATTTTCACAGGCTCACTGCAGCCACGTTGTTGTGAATAGACTAAAGGGTCATGACTGGCAATGGGGAGACCAGGAAAGAGGCTGTTGCAAGGATTTACTGTAAGACTGACCTTCCCACTGAGTGGACACCTCTGGCCCTTTCTATCCTAATGCCACAAGACTGGGAAGGGCCAGGCCATGTGGCTATGCAAGCAGAGGGTCAGCTGGCCAAAGCCAAGGGCACTCACGGAGCGGGGCCAGGTGTGTGGAGGCAGCTGGTAGAGGGAAAGCATGCTGAATTCTAGTCCTGGCTCTGCATGATCTTGGGCCTCTCTACCTCTCGCTAAGCCTGTCACAAAAGCCATAAAAATGGGTCCCTACGGGGTTGTGGTGAGGATTCTAAGAGAAGATGGGTGTGGAAGCTCTGGGTAAACTGAGGAGGGGTGTGGGTGCGGAGTCCTGTCTGGCCACACACCAGGAATGCAGGAGGACGATGCATCCCGATTCTCCACAAGGGGGAGCCTGGTCAATTCTCCCGCCCGCAGCAATGAACTTCGCAGGCAGCAGTCCGGCCTTCCTATTTCAGAAGTCCCCAGCACCGCGTTCTGGGGTGGGAATAGATGCGCCCCTGAGAGGTCCTCATGCTGCTTCAGATCCTGTGGTTGGCAGATCATGTTCTCTCCAAAAGATGTTCCACACAGCCCAACAGCAGCGATTTGAGAGGCTGGCACGTGGATCCATCATGCTATGACCCCCAATAAACAAACCAAAAAGAAGATGGAAAGGAAAAGCAACATAGGAAAGAGAAGCCACCCCTGGCTGGGGGCGTTTGGTCTGAAGCAGGTAGGTGGGCGGCTTTGGGTTCAGCCCTGCCCAGGTTTGCGTGCCTGTTTCCCGTCTTGGCCCACAGGTTCTTTAAGGTGGCTCCTTACATGTTCACTGGGCATCTGCCCTGTGCCAGTCTGTATGCTGGGAGCAGGTGGTCCTCCAATGCGGCAGAAACTCAGGCTCATGAGCTCCCACCTACTCTCAGGGTCTCTTTCGCCTCTCCATTTATCTGAAGGTTAAAAAGGCCCAATAAGATGCCCTTAAAACAGACCAAGGGGGCAGGCAGGGCAGGCACGCAGGGAAGGGCAGGTTGTTCATTGCACCAGAGTCACCGGCTGACTGGACAAGTGGGGACTGAGGTCCAGCCTGCTCTACAGCCACCAAACCCTAAGTCCTGGCGTGGGGCTTCATCTGCTCAAGAGAAGGAAGGAACAAGGTGCTGAGAAACAGCCTGGGGACAGCCCAGGGGAAACTTTAAGACAAACCCTATTGCATGATCTCTCCCTCCTGCGGTAGCTGCTTCACACTGCTGTCACAGATCAGGAGAAAAACGTAAGGATAAGTCCAATGGATCTTCAAAGACAGACCCGCCTGGGTTCTTTTTTTCAATCTGTATTTATTTTATTCTTTTATTTTTTAGAAACAGGGTCTCACTCTGTCGCCCAGGCTGGAGTGCAGTGGCACCAGCATAGCTCACTGCAGCCTCAAACTCCTGGTCTCACACGAGCCTCCCGCCTCGGCCTCCCCGAGTGCTGGGATTACAGGTGTGAGCCACTGTGCCTGGCCTCAACTTACATTTATTTAGTGTCAGTGATGTGCCGGGTACTATGAGGGGCACAAATCATCTGTCAGGTGATGTCATCATGCCTTTCACCAATGCAGAAGCCGAGGCCCAGCACAGTTCAGGAACATGCTCTAGGGCACATTGCCAGGCAGAGGCAGGCTCCAGCTCTCAGGCCCCTGTGTTTTCTCTTGTTAAAAGGGCTCTAGAACCAGTGAGCCTACTAGGCTCTATCTTGGTACTATCACTTGGGCAAGTTACTCTGTGCAAGCCGATGCCTCCACTTCCTACTCTGTGAAATGGGATAACATCAACAGCAGCCTAATGGGAGCATTGCAAAAAACACGCAGGTCGGGGAATGAAAGGCAATTAGTGCAGGACTGGCATATAGAAGTGCACAGTAGGGGCCGGGCGCAGTGGCTCACGCCTCCAATCCCAGTACTTTGGGAGGCTAAGGTGGGCGGATCAGGAGGTCAGGAGCTCAAGACCAGCCTGGCCAACATGGTGAAACCCCGTCTCTACTAAAAATACAAAAATTAGCTGGGCATGGTGGCATGTGCCTGTAGTCCCAGCTACTCGGGAGGCTGAGGTAGAAGAATTGCTTGAACCCACGAGGCAGAGGTTGCAGTGAGCCGAGATTGCACCGCTACATTCCAGCCTGGGCATCAGAGCGAGACTCTGTCTCCCCCCGCCCCCCCAATAAAAGTGCTTAGTAGGTGTCAGCTACTGCTACAAAGCAAGCCCTTTTCCTCACAGGAGCCCTGGGAAAAAGACCATAAAAGTGCAGGCTGAGGTACAGAGACAGAAAGGTGACTTCCCTCTAAGGCTGGTAAACCTACAGGCAGGACTAAGGCCAAAGGTGCCAAGTCCTGGTCCATGCAGCTTCTCAGCCTCCCTAATTCTCCACTAGAGCCTGAGGAGTTCCAGGAGTGGACCTGGACAGAGACGGTCCAGGTATGGGGGAGGGCGAGGAGCAATGTGTTAAGTCAGGACTGGAAGACAACGAGTGGGGAGCAGGGCAGGACTTGAACTTGATCCTTGTGGATGTGCAGGTGGGAAAAGGTTGTCCAGAGTCCTCATGGGGCCACTGTCAGAACCCACCAGCTGTGAGGGTCCCCGTGCCCCAGCCGGACCCTGAGTCAGGGGACCCCAACTCCACCCTCACCTGCCCCCATCGGCCCAGGCCAGCTAAGGCTGGTGGGCCTGAGCGTGGGCCAGCCTCCCCCCTCAGCCCACCGGCCTGCCTGCCTCCTCCGGCCTGGCCAGCATGGTGGCAGGCCCTGCCTGCTCCCCTGGGAGCCTGCCGCCAGGGCTGATGGCGCTGACGGAGGGAGGGAGGCCGCCAAGCTGTCAGTCTAGAGGTGCCCCTCGGAGCCCCTCCTGGCTGGAGTGAGGAGGGTGGGCCGGCGCCGGAGCCGGGCTGTCAGGGCCTTCACAGAGACGAGGCCAGAGAGGCGCTGCCTGACAGCTCGCCCACCGAATTAGGACCATTTGCATGCTAATTTCCAGCACTCTAACGGGCTGGCAGGCGGGCTGGGGTGTGGAGAGTGTGCAGAGAGAGGCACCGCGGCCTTCCCGCCCGCGAAGGAACAATGCTTGACTGATCTAGCTGCGTTAACGAGCAAATTATGGTAATTTTGTTATTACAAATGCATAGAAATTTCCAAAGCAGGCAGCCATTCAGGGCAGCTCCCTGCTCCTCCCCACTCCTAAATACAGAGCCCCCTATTTGGAAACACAGGCCAGGCACCCACTTCAGAGACCAAGATTTCCAGGTGCTTCCCTCAGTTCTCCCAGGGAGGCCCAGGGTGAGCCCGGCCAGAGCATCCATCGAGTCAGCAACCCTCAGCTTCTGAGCTCCCCACACCTTGCCCTCTTGTCCCCCAGTAGTCTCTGCCTAGCCCCTGGGCCTAGCAATCCTGCAGAACCTCCACATGCAAGCTGGTTTCTTTCCATCTGAGCAGGTAGCATGGGCGATTCTCCTAGGTCTTGAGAAATTCATTCAGTCATTTCTGTGCCCATTCTTTGAACTAGGCCCAGCACCCAGGAGGGACTCAGGGATTGTCTGATGAATGAATAAGTGAGTCAAGGAAGAAGGGAGGAAGGGAAGAGAGGAGGGAAGGCAGCGGGAGAGGCTGGGGAGAGAGGGAGAGAAGGAAGAAATGGAGGAAGACCAGAACATATTCCGCAAATGAAGATAATCAGGAGACCCCACACGGCCAGCTCACTGGTGGTATAATTAATCCAAGACTTCACTAGCGGAGTTTATTTGCCAACTAGTAACCCCTCCCAGTATTTATAATTGTCCACTGTCAAAATCACAATTTGCCCCAGTTTTTCTGGTAGTCTTCTTTTGATTAAAAGTATGTTTTTGGAAGCCTGCTCTGGTATGCATCCAGACAGGAGCTGTTTCCAAAAAAGTGAGCTCCCACCTCCTAGCAGTGAAGCGTGGGTCGCTCCAGAGCAGGGCTGGGCACAAAGGACGGCTCAGTGGTGCCACGCTGTGAAAAGCAAGTCTGCCCATCCTCGGGCAGGTGGGGTGGATCTGCATCCACTCCTGCCCCACCGGGAACCACTGGCAGTCCTCCTGTTTTATGACAGGGATTTCAGGTTGGGGCTGATGTTATTGAAAGGTCAGGAAGGTGCCTCAAATCCATTTTGGAAGTCAGTGGGGAATAAATCATCAATTATGGAGGAAACCAGCGGCTAGGAAGGTCTGCTCCTGGTGGCTGAAGAAGCGCGGGCGGGCCGGGCCTCACCAGGGAGCGTTCGAGGCAGAGGCCTAAATAGAAGCCAAGACTTCAGAACCTCAGTTGGGGTCGTGGTCAGATTTTTCTATCTGTCTGACTTTCTAACTGGGTCACAGCTTCCAGAGGGAAACTGAACCCAGGAACAGAAAACAATCATTTCTTTGTGTCTGGCTACCTGACTCTGGGTAGGGGAGCTGTGCCCCGGCGTACCTGCAGGTCTCAGACCAACCTCGGCCAGACCTGGGGAGCCCACCGTTGCCTGGATCCACTGAGGCACAGAAGCCTGAGACTTAAGAGAAGATGTTTTTGTAGCTGGCCAGGTCCCAGGGCCTGGGAGAGGATCTGCATTCAGGAAGAGCACAACAAAAGTTGGGGTGAAGGTGGGGGTCTCGATTTGTGTTGCTGTAGAAGCCAGGGCATCCAGGAACCGTCCTTTTTATACCAGTTCTGCACAAGGACAGGAGACAAAATAGCTTCTTTTTTATTGCTTCGGTGAGGAACTGAGGGGGGTGGGGACAATAGGGCAGAAAGAGGGCCACCTGGCTCCCCCTCTGACTTGCCATATGACTTTGAACAAGTCCTTTCCTCATCCTCATCTGCACAGCCCTGGGTTGATTTCTAAGGTTGAGTCCAGCCCTGTCCATCAGTGATGGACGGAAAAGCAGCTACAGAACACACAACGGCCTCTCCGTTGAACACACAACACGCTCCACACAGGCACAGCCCAATCTACACAGGGCTAACAGCCTTCAAAGCTTCTCCTGCAGAGCAGATTTCTCCAAAGCCAAAGGCAAGGCCCTCGGCTAGGGCCTCTGTTGAATCAATGTCTTTGCCGCTGCCCCCAGTGGCCAGCTCTACAGCCTACAAAATGTCCTGGATGGGGTGGTGGGGGGGGGGCCTTGGTTGGTCTCCTGCTTCCCAAGGCTAGATTCCAATTTCTTTGCATTTGTTTTTCCAAATGTGTCTGGCTCGTTCCTGGGGAGTTCTTCTCTACCCAGGAACCCCACACCCGCAGTGCCCATGGAAAAGCTATTCATTCACAAAGGTCCAGTGCAAAGTTGTAGGGGCTATGGGAAACTGCTTCAACCCAAGACTCTTCGGTATACACCTGGTGTCCCCGCTTAGACCTGCTCGTGCCACACCCTTCTTTTGCATCACACAATGAAAGCAATTTCTGGGCTGTAACACAGTGTTTCTAAGAGTCACACTCCAAATTGGCAAAATCCTTCCCTTGTCATCTAGACTGAACCACTTGCTAGCAAACCATTTAAGCCTCAGTTTTCACCTCTGTAAAAGGGGCTACCGTGAGGCTCCACTGCAATTATACATGAAAGGGGCACATGAATAGCAAAGCTCCGTCCAGGTGGGGGTTCGTCTTCTTAGCAGCATTGTGAACAAGACCCCACGATGGCCACAGCGGTCAGAAACCCTGCCCTGGCAGGACAATGCCCAAGGCATTTTTGGCCTGGGATTGCTCTTCAGGCGAAGGGTATGGTAACACAGTTGTCATTTCACATTTTTCCTTCCTCCCTCTTTTATCTCTCTTTCTCTTTTCCACTCCTTCTCTCTTCCTTTCTTTCTTTCTTTCAGCCCTGGATTTAAGTCTCCCTGTTTCGGGCCCTTTATTTGTGCCCGTTGCACATAGACTCCTTATAAAGAAAATTCATTTGTTCAGGGTCACCGCATGGTTTTTCATTAAAAACAAATTACCCGCATTCAGGGAGGACATCTGGGCTTCGCGGGTCCCATTAATGACTATATTTCCAGCCTCCCAGCCTGGTTGGGCTCCCCTTGCCTGTCACCCCGCGTTCCCGGCCCCGGGAGGACAATGAGAGTGACAGTCAAGTGAAAGGGAAAACATGAGGGATGAGGGCGAGAGGCAAGTCCCCCGAGAGGGGAAGGAGGGAAAAGTGAAAAAAATAAATAACTCAAACAGAGGGTAACAAGGGCCATTGTCTCAGCGTCTTCCTGCTAGAAGCCAGAGCAAATATTGGAAGAAGGACTGGGGGCGTGCCAGTAGCACTCAAGCCCTGTTTAATTACACAGTCCGACCCTAACTTGCCCTGGACTCTGGACCGGGCAAGATGGGGAGGGGCATGTGCTGTATTCAGATAAATCCCACCCACAGCTACTGAGCACCTACTGCAGGCAGCACCTACTGCAGGCAGGGCCAGGATCTGAGAGGAATTCCGGGCAGCCCTGACCTCAGACGCAGCCAGGAGACGGGCGCACGGGGTCTCTATGGCAGACCATGGGCAGTGCCCGGGGGGTGCACACAGTGGGGAGATGAGGGACTGCGGTGGGGGGCTTCCTGTAAGAGAGAGCCTTAAATTTGGGTCTAGGAACATGTGTCAAACACAGACAGGTGAGGATGGGGAGGGAGAAAGGAATATACCAGAATTCCAAGTGTGAGCTCCGTAGCATCCCAGCAGGAAGAGCTCTTCCTGGGCCATAAAAGAACTCGAGTTAGGAAGGCCACCTATGTCCCTGAGGGAGCACCTTCCCTGGCCCCAGAGCCCATAGATAGTCTCAATTTCCTCTCAGTCTCCATGGACACCGGAGGCTCAGAGACCCTAAGTTCCAGGCGCCAAGCCCAGCTGCTCCCTGACTGGCTATCCCCCTGGCAATGCAACACCACCTCCCGAACCCAGTCAGCCTGCCTCCGAGATGGATATGCTCACTCCAACCTCACAACATGCTTTCAAATGGCAACTGGGGCTAACAGCTGTGTGTCCCTTGATAACTCTAAAGCACCATGCAGGTTGGGGGTGGGGAAGCATGGGGCTTGTTGGTAGAATGAGCTTACGGGCATGGGTGGTTTGGCCCCATTTGAGAACACTCTCCTTTTGGAAGGCAGAAGCCAAGCTCCACTGGCTCTCACTGCCCTGAGGGCTTCGGACACTGCCAGAAGTTCTCTGGATAGCAGTATCCCAGGTGGAGTGACCCTCAGGGTTGGAGGCAGCGGTTGGTCCAGATGAAGACTGACAGCTGTCAGGGTCTTGGAGACAGGGGCTGCAGATCCCAGCAAGCCGAAGGGAGTCAAACTCTGACAGCCCCAGTAGATTAAAGCTGGGTTTCGGAAAGACTGCAGTAAGTACAGGAGCAAAGCACATCTCAGAACCTTTGTCTTCATTGTTCCTGCTCTGCCTGAAACACTCATCTTCTCCCTCCTCACTCCACCTCCCACTGGCTAACATATGTTTCTCTCTCAACAATAAACCTGAAAATTGTCTCTTCCTAGATTCCTCCCCTGCCCTAAGGGCAGCACCAGGGATGTCTTGGAAAGCTTTAGCTGTGCCCCTATTCTTTGATGTGTTTTCTCAATCTTAGCAAAACTCTCTGCAAAAGCACCCTCAGACATGCCTCCCACCCAGCCCTACTGTACAGAGATTCCAAGCCCCTCTGTGTCTGACATCCCCAGTCTAGGCTCCATCCCCCTTCTCTGTGTTCCCAGAGTCCCTGGGCTTGCCTGTTACCACAACTGGCCCCCATAGCCCCTCACAGATTTGCCTGACAAGGGTCATGAGTTTTGATCTTGTATCCTTAGGCTACTACCTGGCACATGTAGATGCTCAATAAATGTTGGAAGGGAGAAGGAAAGGAAGGAAGCGATAGTGGATGGATGGGTGGATAAATAGATGGATGGATGGATGAATAGATGGATGGATGGATAAATGGATGGATGGATGGATGGATGGATAAATGGATGGATGGATGGATAAATGGATGGATGGATGGATGGATGGATGGATGGATGGATGGATAAATGGATGGATGGATGGATGGATAAATGGATGGATGGATGGATAAATGGATGGATGGATGGATGGATAAATGGATGGATGGATGGATGGATGGATAAATGGATGGATGGATGGATGGATAAATGGATGGATGGATGGATGGATGGATAAATGGATGGATGGATGGATGGATGGATAAATGGATGGATGGATGGATGGATGGATGGATGGATGGATGGATAAATGGATGGATGGATGGATGGCCACTGCAACCTGATCAGCTCAAGGCCCCACAATTATTTATTATGTTCAATACATTTCAACAGGCTCTCTCCCAAGCCCCTTCTTCTAGGACACGGAGGCCCCTTTCCATTCTACCCCACAGCACATCATGCATTAAATGCCCTATAATAATGATACTTTTCACTCTAAAAACACAAAAAGCTTATTTTTATAATTTTACTTTTGAAATTATTTGGCCACAAGTAATCTAATTGATGATTAGCTATGAATACTCTGCAACTGAGGCACAAACTTAGAAATTCTTTTAAAGGAACAAAATCTAATCTAAAAATGGTTTTTAAATGTAATGAAATTTTTGTAAGCCCTAAATTTAATAGTTAATGAAGTTAACAACAATGTTACAATTTGTAAACATTTACTATGACATTTATTAATGTCAGTTTTCTAGTTTCCTATTTTAATTTTAGAGGTAAAAGGAGCTTTGTTTGGGCCTCAGATTGTTGTAGATTCCTAAAAAGCTCCTGGGACTTTAGCCCAGGGCCTCTCCAGGGCCCTGCACTTTCATTTAGGATCCTGTGGGAAGTCTTGGCTGGGACACCAACCTCATCTTCCAGGAGCTCAAGTCTGGTGGAGGTAGAGACGCACTCGTAAATAATGTGATAAAAAGTAAAAGAAAAGGGAAGGAGTGCATTGGGCCCCAAGCCCCTCAGATTGCTGCTGCCCAGTAGAAGAAGGGGCTGGTCTGAGCCCTGGACACTCCTGCATAGGGTGCCCTCAGGGCAGGGGCTGCCTGGCCCAGGCTCCTCCTAGGACTTCAGCCTCTCCTTCCCATCCTACCTCCAGGTAAGCCAGGCCCAGAGTACTTTCTCCCTGTTTGCCCCCAACCAAGACTCAACCACAAAACAGAGGGAATTGCCACCTGCCCTCTTGACAGGCCTTTTGGCAAGCAGTGCTACTGGGAGGTGCCTGTAGCAGCGTGGCTTAAACCCCAGGCCTGGCGTCAGGCTGCTCTGCCACCTGCTGTGTGGCAGGGGCTGAGGATGGCTTCTGCTGCCACTCCGTGGGCCCTGTGCATACCCGGGCTGCAGTCCTCGTCCAGTCCTCGGCGTTTATCTCCTGGATTCATGCCCACTCTGTCTCTGGTCAGAATCTGACTTGGTCATCAGGAATTAGGATAAGAAGGCCTAAGGTTCAGCAAGGCCACTGTCCTCAGGACACCCTCACTTTGGGCTGTGTACGTCCAGGCTCCTCTCTGCACTAATGGGGGACCCCTAACCTCTCAGGGCTGGGAGAACCTTTAAGCCCTCCAGGCCCACCTTGACCCTGCATCAGCCACCCAACGCTTAGCCCTTCCGCAAATGCTTCAGTTTCTTCTAAAGCAAATTCTGATAGCATTCCCCTTCATCTCCTAAAAAGCCATCACAGCCCAGTCGTTTTGTTTGTTGTTTGTTTTTAAGAAACACCATTAGTAGAAGGACATCAGGAAGAAATTGTAAGTCAGGATCCCAAACACATGTTCTCACATACTCATGACCAGGTTGGTGCAGTTGGATCTGGGGCCTGCCAACCACCATCAGAAGGAGCTGGAAACTGGGGAAATCTAACAAGTAGATTCAGCCCAGAGCAGCACCAAAGCTGTCCTCAGCCCCTGGCTCTGAGCTCCCCCAGCACTGCACACTTCCCAGGCGGGCCAGTGAGCACCGGCTTTGGACAGGGCACTCTCCCAGCTGAGACTCTGCTTCTCAGCTGTCCTTGCAATGGGGTTGTGAGAAATAAGAATGTTTCCCAGCACCTGTGAGCCTAGGATATTCTCTCTCCCCATCTCCATGCTCCCAAAAGGGACACTTTGCTTTCAAAGATGGAACAAATGATGGTGATCTTTACTACCTCTCTCTCACCCTAAGATTGCAGATTCCAGTCTGGGAGCCCTCCTCCCAGGTGCACAAGCCCCAAAAGCCAGCCCTGGCCTGCCCCAGCAGTTTCTGGGCCTTCCCGATCGAGACATGGGAGCAGTGTGTAAGGTTAACAAGTCCTCAGGCTCTTCTCCTTCAGTCCAGCCCTTGGAAGTGATTACCAGATTATACATGACAGCCCAGGGCCACTGTCTTATTATTCACAGCCCCAGATCTGAAGGGAACTTGGAAGCACTTTCTGCTTGCTTAGAACAGAGGTGGCAGGGCTTAGGGAGCCCTCCAGTTCGGTCAGGAGCTGTTATGAGCAGGGATAAACATCACTGACTTAGAAACCTTGAATGGCAGGAGCAGAAAACCCCCTGGGGTGCATTCAGCCCAGCCTCCCCAGGCCCTGCCTCCTGCTTTAAGAGAGAGCAGGGAGTCCCAAGGTCATGTCTCAAGGTCATGCTGTGAGTATCTGGCAGCTAGAATCAGAACCTAGGTCTCCTAAATTCAAGTAGGACCTTCATGTCCCCAGAGTCCTTTCCATCTCTGAGGCTTTTGTAATTCTTTTCTTCCCAAATGCAGGCAAGAGCTGAGAAAGCCTACATGTGTGTATCAGTTTCTCCTCACTCCCAGCATCACTTCCGTGCAGGGTTCCTGGAGCTTTAGTCACATAGACTGTCCAGACCACCTCATTCTAGACCCCTCGTCCCCCCACCCTATGAGGGCACAGGCAACAGGCAACCCTGGCTCTCCACATCTGCCTGGGCAGAGCCTGCCCTCTGCAAGGCTATTGGATGCTCAGCCTCATGCCCAGAGGTTTCCAGGGCTGAGGTGTGGGTGTGACTGGGACCCTTCTTCCCTAGATCCAGCCTTCCCTTCCAGCTCATCTCCCACCAGCCCCACAAGGCTTTGGTCACTCCCAGCTCCCTCCCTGATGCCCATGTTCTCTGGTTCCCCTGGGGCTTCTCACGCACTGGTCCCTTACCCAACAATATCCCTCCAGCTTCACAGACTGGCAAACTCACTCTTCAAGGTCCAGCTCAAATGACCTCCTTTGAGAAGTCTTCCCTGATTTCTCCCACTCCACCCCATTGCCTCAGCAGACTCAGTGGTCCCCCTCACCTGCATTTCCCCACACTTTATAGATTCCTAGGTCTTAGCTCTTAACATTAGCACATCAGGATTTTTTTATATCCATCTCTCCAACTAGACTGTGAGCTCCCTGAGGGCAGGGGCTGTGTCGGCAGCTCCACCCCTAGCCCACAATTGGCACCAAGGGTCTCTTAGGAAATGTATGGAGAATGAATGAATGAACAAGTGAATGGCCACCTGCATTTCATCGTAGCTGTGTCTAGGATTCCCCAGGGTCAAGTCTGTGTTCCTGCTGTGGCAGAGTGACTGGAGGCCACCAGAGGGCAGCAAAGAGTCAGGAACGAGCAACAGGTGTGCACCCCAGAGGCCAGGGCCAGGTTGGCAAAGGGGTGGCGTGCCCAGGCCAGAGAGCTACCAGGAGCCCCAGCAAGGAGCTTAGAAAGAAAGTCAGGGGTCAAGGGAAGTTAGTGTTAAGAACAAAGGCTGTTCTTTCCCTGAGCAAACGCTCCCTGAGCCTGATGCTTAGGTCACGGAGGTGCCTGGAGAGCACTGGTCCTCTCTCCATCTGATGCTCAAATCCCCACCACCAAGTTCTCACCAGTGTCCGCTGGACCCTCCCAAGTCTGCCCATTCCAATGTCTTCAGTACTAATCATAGGAAAGGTTCTTGATACAAGGCTGGAAAAGGTGGCCCTCTGAATCCTGTTCACTACTCCCGGCCATGCCTATGGAACTGGGCAGTATATATTTTCTCCCTGTTTCACATGCTTAACCAGACCCAGAGAGTGGAAATGACATGTCAGATGGCACAGAGGTCCTGGCTGAGCTGGGCCAGGATGCTGCCTGGTACTGCGGCCCCCACCCCTAAGCCTGCATGCTTTGCACAGAGCAGGCCTGTAGGGCAGGCAAGACGCAGAATCAGGGGTGGGCTTGCCAGACCACAAAAGAAACCTTCTCCTCCCCGCTCCAGAACCTCAATACCCTTCCTATCTCACACAGGCGGTGTCTCCGTAACTACACAACCATCGTTTCAAACAGTAGCAAGGCAGGCTCCGAGAAGTCACAGAGCTCCTCTGTGGTCACACTGCTAATAATGGTGAAGCCACATTCTTGCCAAAGCACCCTTCGCTTCTCTTGGGGCATCTGCATATTTCTGTCTGGACTGGCCCTCGCCCCATGCTCCTGGGGTTCATGCACCTGTCTGCAGAAGGCCTCATCTGCATGTCTGCTTGGCCTCCAAAAGTTGCCAAGCTCAGATCCTAACCTTGCTGGCCATCAGCCTCCACTCAACAGGCTCCCCTCCCTGCCAATCCTACTTGCCTGGCCTGGGCTGGACTCCCACCCCTGGGAACCCACACCAGCCACTAGGCTTAGCCTTCTGCCCTACCGCAAAGCCCCCATCCTCCTCTCCAGATAGCCAAGCACACATGGTTCCCAGCCCAGCTCCAGGGCCACCTTTGCCAGAATGCCTTTCTCAGTTGCACCAACCACAGCTGCCTCTCTGTTTTCTGCAGACCCACTGTATTCGGAGACTGCCTGACTCCTACTTGGCAGTGCTCTCATTTCTGACTGGATTCTTCTCTAGTTGGCTTTCCCATTGATCCACAGGCTCCAGGAGGTATGAGCTCTGCTGGAGAGCTCTTGATTTGAGCGTTAGCATGCCTGCTAGGCTTCTCTGTTCACCGCCCTATCCAGCCCAGGCCCCTGTGTAAATAATAATAGCAATAATAATGAACACTTATGTGCCACTCCATATGTGCCAGTCAGAATTCTAAGAGCTTTTATGTATATTACATCACTTAATGCTCACATTTATTATCAGTATCCCCATTTTATACACGAGGAGGAAACCAGGGCCCTGAGGAGTTATGTAACTTGCCCCAAGTCACACAGCTAGTGAGAAGCAGGACTGTGACTCAGAACCAGGGAGTCTGGCTCAGGTCCATGCTCTTAACCACCCAGCCTCCCACTGCTTCCCCATGTGGCGGCCACTCTAACAGCGCTACCACTCCCAGCCCTGGGTCAGCCCCAGCCTCCTTGGTTGCATCACCCCAGCCCCCAGACTCAGGGCCACAGCAAACCTAGCGAAGCTCTCCTTGGCAGCTCGGCCTAAAGTTCTCCATTTTAATTTCAGCTACTGTGTCCTGAGTGCGACTAGGTGCTAGGCACTGTGCCGGGAACTAAGGACACAACTGTGAACAAAACAGACATAGCCTTGATTATTGTACAGCTCTTACATACCATACAGACCTGAAGAGAAGCCGGAGGGGAACGAGTAAACCACACACTAAATGACTTCAGCTGGGCTTAGTGCTGCACATGAAAAGAGCAGGAAGCTCTGGGAGAGGAATGATAGGGGGTCCTGGTTCGGAGGGTATGTGGCAGGCAGAATTGTGGCCCCCCCCAAAAATGTCCATATCATAAGCCCTAGAACCCATGATTATGTCGGATTACATGGCAGAGGGGAATTAGGTTGCAGATAAAATGAAATTAGCTGTCCTGAACATGGGCAGATTATCCTAGATATCCAGGTGGGTCCAAGGGAAACACAGAGCTCTCTAAGTGAATGGGGGAGGAAGGAGGGGCAGCCGGATAAAGACTCAGCCCAACATCGCCAGTTTCGACAAGGAAGGAAGGGGCCAAAAGCCAAGGAATGCCGGCAGCAGCAACAAGCTAGGACAAGAAAGCAAATCATTCCCTCCTAGCACCTCCAGAAGAAACAAGCCCTGCAGACACCTTGACTTCAGCCCAGTGAGACCTACTTCCAGAATCAGAGGGAGAAAAGTGTCTGTTGTTTTAAGTCACTCATTTGTGGTAATTTGTCACAGCAGCAACAGGAAACTCAAATATATTTGGTCACTGGGGAAGGCCTCTCTATGGAAGGGAAACCCAGATAGGTGAGAGGGGACCAGGCAAGCTGGGCAACGAGCAGAGAGGGGCTGAGCCCTTTAAGCAGAGGAAGTTGCAGGTGCTGAGGTGGGAAGGAGCAGGCCCCTCTCACTCCCCCTGTGGTGTTCAGTGGACCCTGTGCCTTCCCGGCCCACAAGGCTGCGCCCACCTCTCCTCTGGCCTCAGGCCCCCACTCCACACTGCACCCTCACCTCCTACTTCTTTAAGAAAATAAAAGCCATCAGTTTAGTGAGTGCCTCAATTGAAAGGCATCTAGAAATGATGTCCATCAATCCATGGCAAGTACAGTGCCCAGGCCCACAGGGACCCCACCTAGTGCCTTTGTGCACATTGTTCTGGTGGGCCATGAGGGATGGGGCACCCACCGGTTCCTCAAAGATAGCAACCTTTTTTTCTCAGACTTACTAAAGCCAAAGGGCAATGAACTCCCCTTCCTTTTTCCTCTAGCCCAGAATTTGTCAGAATTTCAAATGCCATGTCGATATCTGCAACCATGTTAAGATATTTGCAACCATGTTAGGTTGCAAAATATCTTCAGGCAGGAATCAACTGGTTACACCAATCAAGACACTATGAAATCTTTGGTGCAAAATTTTCGGCATTTTCTGGGACTTGATGGAAATAAAATTTGAAAACTGTTTCCTTTCTAAGCTGATATAAGATGCTATATTCGCTTTCTTCAACATAACTGCTCTGCAAATGGTGATGCAGAGTTTACTGAATCTGCAAACCCTAGAGAAGACCAGAAGCTATGTTTTGCAGACATGGGGATGCCCTGGAGCCGGAAGGAGCAGACAACTCTGATGATGGAATCAGAAATCAAGCTGAACATGAGTCCAAGCTAACAAGCAGACATTTAGTAAGGAAAAACATGACATCCACTTTTTCAGGCTCTGCAGTGTGGCTGTGGAAGCATAGCCCAAGGCAAGCGTGCCTTCCTCTGTGTGTCCTCCAAGCACATTTACAATAAAAGCCTTCACTTGGAAATGAAGTGGTGGCCGGGCACAGTGGCTCATGCCTGTAATCCCAACACTTTGGGAAGCTGAGGCAGGAGGATCGTTTGAGCTCAGGAGTTGGAGACCAGCCTGGACAGTATGGCAAAACCCGTCTCTACAAAAAATACAAAAATTAGGTGGCATGGTGGCAGGTGCCCGTAGTCCCAGCTACTCGGGAGGCTGAGGTGAGAGGATCACCTGAGCCCAAGAAGTCAAGGCTGCAGTGAGCCAAGATCGCACCACTGCACTCCAGCTTGGGCGACGGCCAGAGTGAGACCATGCCTTCATTTAAAAAATGAAAAGAAAAAAGAAGTGAAAGTAGTGGCAGCTAAATGTTTTCTAAAGCCGACAGTGGGGAAAAAACACCCCGAAGATTTTGGGATTCCCTCTAGATTGCACCACCAGCCCACCAGAGGCCAGGAGGGAGTGAAACAGATCTCACAGTGAAACAGATCATTGCAGCATAGCAACCTCAGAGAGACAAAAGCAAGAGACACAGGTGTCCCAGAGCCTTGCTTCACTTGTTTCTCCAAACATGCCAACAGGCCCTCGGGGTCAATGCAATGGCATCATCATCTTCAGCACCGTCACAATTCAGTGGATGCCTTCAGGATTCAGAAGCCCGAGAGGTCACAAATCAGCATCTGAACAAACACTGAGTTGAAGTTCTCAAGCGTGTTGTGGCACATCCATGCCCTACTCCCTGGAGCCTGATATAGGGAGGCTCCTTATATGTAACCTGTGAATGTGACTCCCCGTGAAAGGAAAAAAGGGGTCTTTGCAGATGTGATTGACTAAGGATCTTGCGATGGGGAGATCATCCTGGATCCTCCAGGTATGACCTAAATGCATATGTATCCCTATAACAGAGAAGAGGCAGATTCGACACACAGAGTAGAAGGCAACCTGAAGATGGAGCAGGGAAACACTGAAAACTCCTGCCTTGGAGCAATGCAGCTGCAGCCAGGGAATGCCGGGAACGAACCACAAAACCTGGAGGAGGAAGGAAACAGATCTTTCCCCAGGGCCTCCAGAGGGAGCATAGCCCTGGCGACACCTTGATTTTGGCCCAGTGATACTGACTTCAGACTCCTGTGCTCCAGAACTATAAGAGAACACAGTTCTGTGGTTTTAAGCCACCAGGTTTGGGGAGATTTGTTACAGTAGCCACAGGAAACTAACACACAGGTCCATATAATTTCCCTCTCCTCCCTCCCTTAGCCAACATTCACAAAGATAACTTGATACGTGTTAGGGGCCATGAAGGGTGCAGAGACTAATAAGGTCCCAGTGAGAGTGATGGACGTGGCGTAGGGGGCTGTGCCTTGAACACGTTGGGTCATGTGATGTGGCAGAGCCAGGCACAAGCATCTTCCCCCAGAGGGGGGGCCATCTGGGAAGGCTTTTCTGAGCAGGTGAGGTTTGCATTCAGCCCTGAAGGGTGTTGCTGGATTCTGACAGGTCAAGGTGGGAAGCTATTCAAGAATGATGAAGGAACTGATGGGTGAGAGTCCAAGGTGTGCTGGGCACCAGACAGCAGTCAGGGTTGGGGAGGCTGGGAGAGGAGGCCAGAAAGGCAAGTTGAGGCCAACCACGGTGAGGCCTGACAGCCCAGGGCCCCTGCTCTGCCAAAAGGTGGGCCCTCTCTGTTCTGTGGGACAGTGCCGGGGGTAGTGTCTGCAAAAACAATGTCCACAGGCCACCCAAGAAACAGATTTGGAAATTTTGTTGGAAACAAGAGTCCCAAAGACCTGACCCTGTTTGGCCATTGAGAAACAGGAACTAAGGGCTGTGCGGCTGAGCTTGGAATCCCAGCCCTGACGCCAGGCATGGCACTGAATAAATGCTGGGAGATGCATGAGAAGAGACAGCAAGGAGGCTGGGGCAAGAGGAGAAAGAGGAAAAGACGGAGGAAGAGGAGACAGAGAGATGCAGAAGGAAAGAATGGAGGGAGAGAGAGAAGGAAGAAGTCATGGGCTCCCAGGCAGCAGGCTCCTCTGCCGAAGTGCTTGTTTCCTCCCTCCACACTCGTGCACCCTCCTCTGTGCCCAAGGACAGAGTCCCATGGGGCCCTGGGGCTGCCCCTGTCCAGCTGCTGCCAGGCTTGGTGAAGCTGTGCCCCTGCTCGGGCCTGTGATTCCTGCTGCCCTGTTAATGGGCAAAGAGTCGCCATCCATTCCCACTGGAGGCTCTGCCAGGCCTGCAGCCATCTGTGTCTTGAGCCTGGTAATTAGGGCTGGAGGAATCCTGGTGGCCAGAGGGCAGGCTCTGTTTGGATAAACTTGGCAAAGTTCAGCTGCTTCTCTGAACTCAGCCTCTTTGGGGTTTCCAGTGGGGGGCTGAGAGGACCGGCTGGGTGGCCTCAGCTTCACCACTGACATGCTCTCAGAACAGGTTCCGGGGCTGTCCCTGTCCCTCTGTCATCACAGATAAGCTGGAGTTGACTGATTCAGAGAGCACACCCAGGCAGCCCAGGGCACAGGAAGAAGTGCCTCCCTGGGTGTGGGGAGTGCTGGGAGGGAGGTAGAAGGGGCCAAAGACTGGGGTTCAAGTCCTCCTCCTGCAAGCTGCACAGCCCCCCGGAAATTCCCTGGCTTCTCCGGGGCTTCTCTGGCCCTTTTGGAAAACAGGGATTACTCTCCTAACCCTGCCCCCCTTGCAGGACTGTTGCGTCATAGCACTCAGGGGAAGTCCGTGTTCTATAAGGCACTACATAAATGCGACGGGCCATCCATGGACGCGGCTTGGGGTCCATCTCCCAAGGCCGCCTGGACGTGCTAAAGGTTGGAAAATGAGGAGCCGGTGGGGCGGGGCAAGGGGAAGGGTGGTGTGTGTCCCACCACCTCTGTGATCTGCCACAGGTCCATCCTTGCAGCAGACCAAAGTTTTGCAGGCAGGAACCTGGCAGGCCTCCCTGGCATTGGCAAGGCCCAGGACAAGAGTACACACGGAGGCCGTTTCCCATGTGTCTCATATTTAAAAGTCATCAATCAAGCTAGCAAATCGTTAAATGAAATATGCTCCATCCTCCTACCTTGTTAAATACATCTTCGAAACAACCTGGAAGGCCAGGATCGAATGTAGAATTCTGGGCCTTCTGGGCGTTCTGTGCCAGGATGTGGCCATAGGGGAGCCAGCCTAGCTAAGATCCGTCCTGCTGAGCTCCCCACCCTGGGATCCTCATCACCACGTGGGGCCTTGCACACGCATGTGTGGACACCCAGCCCGCACATCCAAGCTCCGTCCACACTCTCGACAGAGAGCCGGGCCTCAGGCCCAGGGATGCACACACCAGTGACATGGGCTGGCTTTAGGAGGATGGCCCGGGGGAAGAGACTTGGGCCTATTTGGGTGGGACTCCAGCATGAGCTAGAAAGAGGGGTGTGGTTATGTCCGTTTGGCCCTGCAGGCTCTCCCCAGTGCATGGGAGAGTGGGCAAGGCTTCAGCAGGGCTAAAGTGGGGCCCTCTAAGGGGTGGCTCCCTTATCTATTTATTTATTACATTATTATTTTTATTAATTGTTTTTGAGACAGGGTATCGCTCTGTCGCCCAGGCTGGAGTGCAGTGGCACGATCTTGGCTCACTGTAACCTCTGCTTTCTGGGTTCAAGCAATTCTCATGCCTTAGCCTCCCGAATAGCTGGGATTACAGGTGCATGCCACCACACCTGGCTAAGTTTTGTATTTTGTTTGTTTGTTTGTTTAGTAGAGACAGGGCTTCGCCATGTTGGCCAGGCTGGTCTCGAACTCCTGGCCTCAAGTGATCTGTCTGCCTCTGCCTCCCATGGTGCTGGGATTACAGGCATGAGCCACTGTGCCCGGCCCAGTCTGGCTTTTTTAGGTGCCCAGAGACAGTCAAGAGTGTGTGTTAGGAGGAGATAAGGCCCTTAGAGCCCCAGGCACTGAAACAAGCTGTGTTGCCCCCTGTAAATGACTCTACCTAAGAGAGAGCATGGTGACTATAGTCAGTAATAATGCATTGCATATTTCCAACAGCTAAAAGAGAGGTTTTTAATGGTTCTCACTACAAAGAAATGATGAACATCTGAGGTGAAGGGTATGTTAATTAGCCTGATTTGATCATTCCACAATGCATACACTGTCAAAACACCACACTGTACCCTATAGATACACTGAACTATTTGTCTATTAAAAATTAAATTAAATAAATAAAAACTTTTAGAAATAATTTTTAAAAGGAGACAATGCTAACTCATAAAAGATGTGTAACAACATCCAGTGGAGGCCCGATTTTCCTCCTGATTTTTAAAAACATCTTTCAAGAAAGAATACTCGGGTATTCCTGCTATGCTAATGCCCTTAACACCCAGACAGCCAGTACCGCTTGTCCCCACACCACCCCACAATGTAAGGAGACATGGCAGCCTCCTCTCCAGATGTTTTAAACTGACAATCACCGGCCTGGGGGGATCAGGTTCCAACGGCCACAGGGTGTTCAGTTTAGAATCAAATGACAAACCCACCATCCAACATCCCGTCTGTCCTGAACACATTATCCTCAACCCCAAGGAGTGAGGCCACCGCGAGCACCTCAGCGCCTTCTGCTTGTTCGTGTCACACGATTGTGTGGGAGAGAGGGCGGGGGCCGGGAGGGAGGGAAGGTTGGGGAGAAGGCTCGCTCCACACCGGCTGGGTGACCTGCAGCCAGCCCCTGCACCCTCTGTGTTCAGACTCTGTACGTGGCCAACAAGGCCTGTTTGAGTGACAGTCAAAGACCCTCCCCTCGCCCCCGGTGTCCTCCCTGGTGCCGCTGCTGGCTGGTCCAGGGCCCACTGCAGGCCCAGCTGCAGAGAGTGCAGACCTCTGCCTGATTTATTCAGGTCCGCTTCTCAGAAGCGTAGAGGTCACCCAGGCTGTTTGGGGGGGGATGTCCCCCCACCGAAACCCCGTCCGCTGCCTGCTGTGGAGACGCCGACAGTGCAAACTCACCAGGCACCATCCCTGTCAGCGTCGGTGCTGAGTAGCTGCCCTGTCCAGCGGGGGGGACGTGTGGAGGGTACCCGGGGAGGGTCGTGCTCGCCAAGTCACGGCCTGAGGAATCAAAGCAACAAATCACAGGGTGAGCATCTTCGCGGCCAGCCGCTCATGTCCACAGCTCCCTGGACGCTTCTGCACATTTGTCACGTTTGGACGCTGAACGGCAATGTGCCCCCAGCTCCCCCCTGTCGCTCACACGCTCTCACAAACACACATACACACACACACACACACACACACACACTCATGCACACACATCTCCAGCCACCCTCGCTCCACTCAGCAAGAACAGAGTCAGGGATGTGGCCTGTTCCTGGGAAATCAGAACCCCCTGCTTGGGGAGGCTAGGCAATGCAGGTGACAGCACGCCCCGACTCCAGCCAGCTCTCCCTACTCTCTACTCCCCAAGAATGGCTGGGACCTCTCCATCTCCACACTGTTGTTTCTGCTATGTCCTTTGTACAAAGTCCCCCTTCCTCCAACTGCACACAGCCTGCCACCACCTGCCTTCAAAGACCAGCTCAAATGCCTCCCTTCTCCTCTCCTCAACAGCCCCCCACAGTGAACAGGGGGCATATCTGCCTCAAACCTTATAGTCCCATATCTGGCCTAGTACTGAATTTTTCCTCCTTTGGCCTAGAGCTGTTTCTTCATTCAGTGAAGATGCAGGAAGCACCTCCCAGTGCCAAACACTGTTCTGGCCCTGGGACATGGAGGTTAAGGCCTCAGCCCTCAAGGCGTGCACACTCCCATGGGCGAGTGTCCAGCTCTTTCAGGCTGCTGTGCTTCTGACCATGAGTCCAGAGTGTCCATGTGTCTCTCAGCTGGGACACTGTCACCATCACTGATTGGCTCCATCACGCAGAGGAAAATTCAATTGCACAGTTTTGATGGGTGTGCATGTTGGGGTAGAGGCCAGGACCACATAAGGGGTGCTGCCAAACCTGCCTCCTGAAAGATGGGGGGCATTAGCCCAGTAGGAGGCTGCCTGGTACAAGTGCTCACATCCTACTTGGCTGCCTGGGATGGATAAGAGGATCGTGAGAGGGGAGGGAACTTGTCCAAAGATACTCGGCTGACCTGAGGCAAGGCTGGGACTGACAGTCTGCCCCCCTGCCCCCTGGGAGTGGATCCTTTCTTCAACGGTGGGTTGCTCTCAGGGTCATTTCTGAACCCCAACAGTTTCTGCTGCTGTTACACATGCTTTAAAACCTTGAACCCTAAAGCAAATGTTCAGAAGATCAGTGCCTCACCAAAGCACTCAAGAAGCCAGATAAAAATCTATAAAATGAACCCAGGGAAAGAAGGAGGAAGGAATCAACAAAATAAAAACAGAAAAGAATGAATTAGGGGCAGGCTGTGGTTCACGCCTGTAATCTCAGCACTTTGAAAGGCTGAGGTCAGGAGTTCAAGACCAGCCTGGCTAACATGGTGAAACTCTGTCTTTACTAAAAAATATATATATATAAATTAGCCAGGCGTCGTGGCACATGCCTGTGATCCCAGCTACTCGGGAGGCTGAGGCAGGAGAATCGCTTGAACCTAAGTGGTGTAGGTTGCAGTGAGCTGAGGTGGCACCACTGCACTTCAGCCTGAGAGACAGAGTGAGACTCCATTCACAAAAAGAAAAGAAAAGAATGAATTAGGAAACAGAAAAGCAGACAACAATACATCAGCCAATAATTGTTATTTGAAAAGAACAATAAAATAGACAAATCTATCAAGATTCAAAAAAAAAGCACAGATAATCAAGATAAAGGATGAGGAGACATTATAACCAGAGATGATATTTAAAAACATAAAGAAACACACTCCACATGAATGAATGTAGAAATCTCAACAAAAGGTACAATTTTCTAGGAAAATATGAATTGCCAAAAGTAATTCAAGAAGAGTCAGAGAATACCAACATCCCAATAATCTTAGAAGAAATAGAAAAAGTTTAAAAAAAAATAAGTGCCTCATCCATTTAGCTTCTTGGGAAAGTTTTTGTTTGTTATTCTTTTTGGCAAGTTCTTTAAACCTTCAAGAGACACATATCTCAGTTATTAAACTGTTCCCAGGATATATAAAACTAAGGAAATCTTCCCAATTCATTTCTCCAAGCTAGCATAATCCTGATCTAAAAATCTAACAAAGGCAGCACACAAAAAATTAAAGACTAGTCTCACAATTTGTTAATATACATGTAAAAAGTCTACTATCATACTGATTGGGCAATATTACAGAAAGAATAATATACCATGACCAAAAAAGTTTCATTCTATGTATGCAAGGATGGTTCAATATTAAAGCACTGTTCAGGACATCATATTAATGTATTAAAGGAAGAAAATCATATGATTATATAAAAGATATAGAAAAGGCATTGGCTAAAATTCAATATTAATTCCTTATGATACCTCTTAGTAAATAAGAATTGAAGTATACTTCCTTGTTCTTATATTGATACTAAATCTAAAGTTAATACCTTAAAAATACTTAATTGGTGAGATACTTAGAGAATTCCTGTTAATGTCAAGAACATGTCAAGGAAACCTATTATCAATGTTATCACTGAAAATTGTTCTGAAAGTTTTAGCCAGTACAATACGATAAGACAGAGACATAAGAGGAATAAGCACTGGGGGGCAGGGGGAAACCCAAGATTATAATCAGCTGGATAAATCTTAGGCTTGGGAAATCATAAGAAAATTGGCTCATCTCCTAGAACCAATGGAAAATTTCGGTGAAATAGCCAGGTAATGGACTGTGTCGACTCCAGCCTTGTGCAGGACTTGAGCAACCACCATGCTGGGGACTCATTCCATTCTCAGGTCCCCCTCTCCCAGCCCACCAGGATGGCAGTATGTGCTCAGAGGAGCTGGCACATGGCCGCATGCACTCTACACATCACTCTGCCTCCGAGTTCCCATCACAGAGGGGCTCCTTTGCCTTGTCCACGGCTCCAGTTTTACGCAGGCACAGTCCCCAGAACCAGAGGCTTCACCTGTAGCTGTGCTTACTCTCCTTGGACTAGCCATGAAAACAAAGGGCCTGGGTTGTTCCTTGCAAGGAAGGGAGAGAAGCTGACAGCTTTCTGTGTCCTCTCAACCTCCTGAATTGCTCCAGTGTTCCAGGCACTGGTATGGGCTGTTGAGCAGCATTATTCCACTGAAACCTCATAGCTTACAAAATTCCCAGCATAAACCTGATGACACTGTGTGGGGAGGTCTCGGGGAGGCTGCAGCTCACCAGAGAAAGGAAGACAGCAGAGCACAGTGACGAAGCATGTCAAGTCTGCCCAGGCTCACACCCTTGATTTGCCACTTATTAGCTGTGTGACCTTGAGAGAGTCCCTTAGTCATTCTGAGCCTCGATTTCCTTATCTATAAAATGGGGAGGATAATAGCCAGCGCTTACGGAGAGTAAACTGTGAGTGAGGCACACACATTCTCACTTATTCCTCACAATAGCCCTATTAGAGAGCTACTATGATCCCTATTTTACTGAGGGGGAAACTGAGGCACAGAGCATTTAAGTGACTTGCTCACAGTCACACAGCTAGAATATTAAAAAGCAAGGTTTCAAACCCAGCCAGTCTGGCTTGCAAGCCTGCCCTCTCCACCCCTGCCCTGTGCCATCTCTGCAACCACACAGAAGCATGCCTTCTTCATAAGGCTGTGGTAAGGAGGCAGAGGGAAGATGTGTGAGAAGCGCATGGCACAGTGTGGAAGGTAATTCTTCACCCCACCCTCACCACCATCAGCTTGAAAAAGAAATAGTAATTTAACACCAAAAAGTAGGAAGGACATATATTAAACTGGTTTTTAAAACCAAATAAATTCAGTTTTATGAAAAAACAAAAGGAACCCTTTGCAGCTCTTCCTGCTAGAGCACAGTGGCCTCCTCTGACCCTTAAATTTAGGTTCAGCCGTGTGCCTTGCTCTGGCCAATGGGATGGGAGCACTCGGCAAGCAGAAGCTTGATGTGTGCTTGTGTGGCTGGGTGCCCTTCTCCCTTATCCTGAGAATATGTCCTGGCTAGCCTGCAGGTCCAAGGAGAGGGGGCACATGTGGAGCAGAGATGGACCCAAACTGTGACTGGAACCCAGCCCAGCCTGGTGCAGCCAATCCCCAGCCGACCCCAAGTGCACTAGCAAGAATAAACGATTACTGTGTTAAGACCTGAGTTTGGGGGGCATTTGCTAAGCAGCAATGTGGTGGCAATTGCTGATTGACAAAGATTTAATAAATGTCATCACTGTTCTCTACTTAAAAGCTTGCTGCCTGGAACCTCTAAGAACACGTATCAAATTCCAGGCAGAGGCTGATCCCCACGCCTGGTTGGGGAACCCAGTCTTATGAATTCAAGCCTCAGATCTGCTCTGAGGCCCATCAGAACTCTCCCGGCACCAAGCTGAGGAGTCTGTGACCTTGGAGGACACAGGCAGTTTCACCTTCTCAGTCCCTTCCCTAACATGTCTTAGGCATGTCGCCAGGGTTGGGGTTTACAACCTGTCAACACAAGGCAGCTAAGGAGATGCTACTCCCCCTTCTTAGCTCTAATTCAAGCCTCTGGACTGGGATGGGAAACCAGATTTAATGCTTCTAAACATGCTATGACCTCAAAGCACACATTTCTTTCATTTTTTTTTAACCAAGGAAGAAATTATTTGTATCATTTGCAATGGCACTGAATGTTATTGATGGCCTATAATAAGTTTGCAAATAACTAACTAAAATGAATCAATTTGCATTCCTAACATAATTCCTCCTATTAATGGCACGTAAGTACATCTTTTCTAACTCATGCGTGGCCTTCTCTTACCAGGGAGAATAACCAAGACTTGGCTTTGCTTACTATCAGCAAGGAGTCCAGGCAGAACAGTGAAACTCAACACAAAGGCCACTCCTCCAGAAGAGACACATTTGGTTTGAAATAACTCACTCTTTGCAATCCTGAGAGGAAGGGGAAGAACAGGGATCTGCCCCTGTTGTATACATGAGGAAACTGAGGCTCAGGGATGAGTTTTGACTGGCCCAAAGTCACAGAGTAAGCGGTAGAACAGGGACTTCAATTCAGATCTCATGATTTCTACTTAAATGCTATTATTGTAGGATTATTAAAAATGTTTCCCCTCGAGGGGACTAGCCCTCCCAGATGCTAAAACATTCTATGAAGTCTTTATAATTAATATTGTGATACCAGCACCTGAAGAAAAAACCAATGGAATAGAATGAAAAATTTAAACAAAGGCTCAAAAGATCCAATCCATATTGGATTATGGACCCAATAATCCAATGCATAGATTATATGGAAATCTAGCATACGATGAAGGTAGGATCTCGAATCACTGGGGCAAATATGGACTTTTTATAAATGGTGTTAGGACAACTGGAAAGCCATCTGGGAAAAAAGATAAAATAGATCAACTCTTCCCACCATATATAAGAATAAACTACAAATAGAACTGAGAAATAAATGTAAAAAAATAAAACTCTACAAGTACTAGAAGAAAATACAGGTGAATTCCTCTCTAATCCAGGTGCAGAAAGACTTTCTAACTATGATTTGAAACCAGATGCACACACACTACAAAAATTAACTCAAAAATGAATCAAAGACCTAAATGTAGGAGTTAAAAGTACAAAATTCTTAGAAGGAAATATGGGCATAAATCTCCATGACCCTGGATTCGGCAATAGTTTATTGGATATGACACAAACAAAAAAATAGATACACTGGACTTCATCAAAATTAAAAGCTTTTGTGCTTCAAAGGATACTACCAAGAAAGTGAAAAAATGACCCATAGAATGGGAGAAAATATTTGCAAATCATATGTCTGATAAAGGACTTGTATCTAGAATATATAAAGAACTCTTGCAGCTCAATAATAGACAAATAATCCAATTTTAAAATGAGCAAAGCAACTGAATAGGCATTTGTCTAAAGAAGAATAAATGAAATGGCTAACAAGCACATGAAAAGATGTTCAACATCATTAGCTCTCAGGGAAATGCAAATCCAAACCACAATAAAACACCACTTCATACCCACTGGGAAGGTCACAGTCAAAAAGACATATTGTCACAATCATTGGCAAAGATGGGGAAAATCGGAACCCTCAAACACTGCTGGTAGGAATGTAAAATGGTACAGCTGCTTTGGAAAAGTCTGGCAGTTCTTAGACATCGAGTTACCACGTGACCCAGCAATTCCCACTCCTAGGTGTACACCCCAGAGAAATAAGAACGTATGTCCACATAAAAACTTGTACACAAATGTTGGTGGCAGCATTATTCATGATAGCCAAAAAGTGGAAACAGCTCAGATATCCATCAATTGATGAATGCATAACGAAAATGTAGTATGTCCATACAATGGAATATTTGGCAATAAAACAGAGTGAAATACCAATACATACTACAGTAGCAACATTCATAATGAACTTGAAATGACTATGCTACGTGAAAGAAGCCAGTCACAAAAGACTATGTATTGTGTGAATATATTCATACAAATGTCCAAGATAGGCAAATCTACCGACAAAAGGTAGATTCGTGATTGCCTAGGGCTGGGGCTGGGAAATGCTCAACAGGCAAAGACATGAAGGGAAGATATAAAGTCTCAGGCTGCATCTGGGGAGAGGGCAGGCTGGGCAGAGGCACGCTATGGCTGACGCTGGTGGAAGACCTGGCATCCAGAGGGCAGACCTGACCCCAGGGAGGAGACCTCCAGGCAGCTCTGCAGGCGGCAGGCTTGAGGGGGCATGAAGCCACCCACATCTGCTCTCCCTTTCACACAGGCTCCCCCGTTGCCTCCAGAGCCAAATCTAGGCCCCTGAGCCTTGCAGGGAGGGGTGGAGTTTGGAGTCACACAGGCCTGGCTTCAAATCTTAGCTCCACCACTTACTCGCTGTGTGACCTCTGGCAGGTAATACAACGATCTGAGCATGGGGCTTTCTTTGATAATTGGAAAAAGAGGGTATTTATTGGGAGTGTAACAATGGTACTCTCTGTAACAGGATTAAAACATGTCTGCAAATTCTTTGTTACTCTTCTCATGGAGAAGTGAGGTCTATGATCCTTTACCCTGAACCTGGGCCCCCTTGGTGACTGGTCAACCCACAGAGCTCCAGCCTCCTTGGAGTTCCCACAAGCCAGGCCCTGGCCAGGCACTTCCATGTCTTAACCTCATTCAATACAAGAACCCCATAAGGTTGCGGTTATAATCCCCATTTTACAAATGAGGAAATGAAGGCTCCCAAGCAGTTGATGTACCCAAGGTTGCACGGCTGATAATAATAACAATAACAGCTAATATTTTTGTAGAATTTACTGTATGCCAGACAAGGCTCTACACTAAGCAGTGTTCTAAACAATATTCACTCTGCTTTGTAAATATAGATTCATTTCATCCTCAAAAACTCTGTAAGGTGAACCCTATTGTTATCCCCATTTTACAGATGTGGAAACTAAAACACAGCGAGATTAGGCACCTGCCCAAGTTCCCACAGCTAGTCACAAATGGACCCTTATCCAAACGGAGGCGTTCTGGCACCAGATGCCTTCACAATCCCCCAGCATTGGGCACCCATCCTTCTCCTGCTTCTAGACTGGAAGTCCCCAGAGATCAAGAACTGCTCTCATTCCTGTTTCCCTTGCACTGGCCTGGCACACAGTAGGTACTCAGAAAACGTTTGCCAAGATGAAATTAATCATATGACATTGGGTCTGCTCTTCTGAAGGAACTATGCTTCTCTTCGCATCAGCGTCTCAGAAAGCCCTTCATCACGAACTCCACAAAATAACCAGGCCTGATTGATCAGTTTTTGCTTAGACGCAACTTTTTCTTTTTCTTTTTCATAGAGCCCATTTCTAGGTAGGCTCTCTCTATGTACACTAACGGGGGGGGGGGGAATGTGAATCCAATTAACTTCAAATTTAGCTCATAATGAACTTATCTCATTTTGCTACCAGCTCGGTTCTCATCGTGTGGCAGTAATTAACCACTGGGGGTTGTCACTCCCAGACACATGACACAGAAATCCTCCCAGTCCTTCGCTTCAAACCCTTGCAGAATTCATTACCCTGACAGTGTGAAAACCCTTCACTTTGAATACCATAGGGCACCAACCAAACTCCCCCTCCATCTACCTGACTGTGTGTGTGAGTGAGAGAAAGAAGGAAGCAAGCCATCGAGCAGCCATTAATTATTGTGAACAAGATGAGAGGTGGGGGCGGGATCCTGGTGATGGCTTGATGGCCCGAGAGGGTCTGCCAGCCTTGACAGCCCTGGGGCAAGAGGTCCTGCCCAGAGGAGGGAGATCTTAGCATACAAGGCCCAAACTATAAGGGAATATGGGGGAACTGGCTGGGAAAGGCAGAGCTCTTTGCGAACTGGCAACTCTGTCTGCTGGGGACTCCTAAGGTCCAGGAAGCCTGCACACTCCAGGCAACACGGATTGCTGTGTGACCTCAGGTAAACTTCACCCCCTCTCTGGGCCTTGGTTTCTGGGCCTTGGTTATCTGAATACTCAAGCAGTGGGAACAGATGGCCTCTGAGGGTTTTTTCCACAGTAACATTCCATAAGTCGGTGGCATCATTTCACCCCCATGTTGATGGAAAAGAAGGTGGGTATCAATTCCTACAGAGACAGATATGGCAGTGCCTGCTCGCTGTGGCCTCCACACTCTTGCCCACAGCATCAGACTTCCTGGAGCCCCTGAATTAAACCCGAGTGAAAGGAGGATAAGCATAAGGCACTTACAGAAGGAGATGGGAGTGGTCAGTCTGCAAATGAAATAAAATCTTCATTTTAGGCTGGGCGCAGTGGCTCACACTTGTAATCCCAGAACTTTGGGAGGCCAAGGCAGGAGGATCACCTGAGGTCAGGAGTTTGAGACCAGCCTGTACAACATGGCGAAACCCCATCTCTACTAAGAATACAAAAATTAGCTGGGCATGGTGGTGCACGCCTGTAGTCCCAGCTACTCAGGAGGCTGAGGCAGGAGAATTGCTTGAACTTGGGAGGTGGAGGTTGCAGTGAGCCGAGATTGCGCCACTGCACTCCGGCCTGGGCGACAGAGCGCAACTTCATCTCCAAAAAAACAAAAAAAAACTTCATTTTACATATTGTTCACTTTATATTTGTACAAGAGTTATGCTTTTAACTTTTTCTGAAGTATATTTTGACACCTGTTGTAGGAAAAGGTGAACAATGCCAAAGACAATGACATGAGCTGAAGATTTTCAACAAACCCCGAAGCAGATGACAGTGAACAAGTGCCACCTTAGGGAGAGGGGGAGAAACAGCTCAATACCCAGGACGTGGGGCGGGGATTCATCCTGCTACGCACACGTCGGTGCGTGTGTACACGTAGTGCATACGCCGCCAGGCTTATTCGTTCCAGCTGGTGTTGGAAATGTGTGGCAGTTTGAACAGGGTTGCTCTGGAGTCTCCCTTTGTCCAGACCTGCCACTAGTGGAGGGTATGCTGCTGACGGTAGATGCAGAGGGGGAATATTTCACCCGGAGGGGAAGGGCAGTGGGAATGGTGATGTAACAGCCTACCTCTGCCTGCAGACAATGGATGTGCTAATTGCAGATGAGCTGTATCCAGTCATTAAAGCGGATCTGGCAGGCTCCTAATGACAGGTTTATTAGCCATTAGTTTGGGTGGTGTTATTGACTTAGGAATAGTAACCCTCAATTTCTTTTCCCAAAATTACCTAATCCCCACTTTTAACTAATTCTGACTGACCTCCTTCTAATTGCCCTGGCTAAAGATCTAATCTGGATTTGTAGAGCCAGGAAGACAATCTCAGAATCCACTAACCAGGGAGCTGTTTACTTTGCTAACCCTCCTCACTCCTTCCTCTGAATTGACCGCACCCACCTCCCTGGAATCTCTGGAACTATCACACTCCAATACTGTGTTTCAATTTTGGAAGCGTGTTTGAATTTCACCTGCCTGGCATTTTAGAGCAGACACTGGGACTCAGTCTATATTTCCATGCACATGTATGACACCAGCCCCCGGAACCAGCAACTGTTGAGCCAACTTAATGAAATGACAAAGTCAGGGTTCTAATTAGGAAAGCAGCAAAGCAGCTCTACCACACTGATGGCTCTGGGCCTCCCTGCCACGACGGGGACTGCTCCAGAGACAGGAGGAAGGCAGTATTTATGGCGCAAGGATTCCCAGGGCAAAGTGGGCTAGCTCGTGACTTTATTCATTCGTTCACTCATTCATGCATTATCTGACACTAAGTTCTAAACACTGTCCTGAGTGCTCTAAAGGATGCAAAGATGATAACAGTAACAATAACAACCAAAACAACAGCAACTATCCTTTACACAGCTCTTAGCGCCAAGCATTGTTCTAAGCACTTTGTATGTATTATCTCATTTAAGTACCGCAGCCACTCCAGGAGATATCATCAAGCTTTACAATCCCCAGTTTGCAGATAAGGTACTCAGCTCTTAAGAGGTGAGCTGGATGCAGGCTGAGGCTGACTTCAGAGCCAGTCACTCCTGCCTCACACACACGATTGTTTCAGTAGGTGAATCACAGAATACAAAATGCACGCTCCCCTGTGACCAGTCAGCTTCTAGGACTTCACCTATGGAAACACACAGAAAAATACACCAAGATATTTCATGGGAAGGAAGGAAGGCAGCAATCCTTATTGCTGGGATAAATAAATTATGATACTTGCCTGTGGTGGAATATTTATTATACAGTTTTGAGAAACAATGAGGTAGATTTGATTGTGGAAATTGTGGAGCGATCTCCAAGGGAAACTACTAAGTGAACAGGCAAGTGTGGAAGAACACTGTGTACAGTATAATTCCATCTGTGCTAGTAAAAAGAGGATAAAATCTGGAGGCGGATAGAGGAATTAAAATGTTACTGAAAATATACAGAAGACACTGTTAACTTTGGGGAGAGGGATTACAGATGGGAGGGCTTAGGTTGGGAGTGGGAGATTTATTTTTCATTTTCTATTTTTCTGTATGGCTTGAATATTTAACCACATGTGTGTATTACTTTTTATTCCAAATTAACTTTTTGAGTTAAAATTAATGTTTTCTTAAAACTAAACACAGTCCGTGCCCAAGGGGCTCACTCACACTCTAGAAGAAGAGATAATAATGAACCAAGATGTATGAAGTGCAGTTGCCCCCTGCCCCCACTGCAGCCGCTCTCAGGCCAGTGTCATGGCAGGAACTTCTCGCGTTCAAGGACAGCATCACGATGCCAGCAGCACCTTGGCCAAGTTGCATACTCAGAGCTCATGTCCCCACCAGGCCTCTCCCAGGCTGGCATCCAGACCTCTGTGGTGGCCTGCCCTACCGATCTGAAATGCACCATGAACAATCCCAGCCCCTGCAATCCGGCTATGAGTAGCCAAAAGTGGGCACAAAGCCTGTCCCTAAATCCTTCCTGGCACCAACTCTGGAAGGCTGGGAGGGACTTAGGGACAGGCTTTTTGCCCACTTTCATTTGCACATAGTTCCGACGAGCTCAGTGGCTTGGCTTCCCAGCCCCCAGCAGATTAAAAACAGCAAAATTGGAAGGAAAGAGACTTCTATGGCTAGGAAACTGACATTAGGAAAAGTGACAGGTGGCAGGTGAGCAGCAAGGACAGAGACAGGAAAACAATATAATCAGACATAAGAAGCCCAAGCCGCGATAGTCTGGGGTACTTGGTGGAAGGATGAGCCGCCCACTTACAGACGTGCAGAGCCTTCGCTACTGTATCGGCGAGGTTCAGTAATGCTGGTTCCCAAAGATGAACCTTTGTCATCAGAGGACGGTGACGGTATGTCACTTCAACATGATATTATGCACCTCTTATCCAAGAAACTGATAGGACAAACCAGTGTTTGACAAACCTATGTAATCATAATTAGCATGTGGAGAGAGCCCAACTGTCCATCTGGGTCCAGAGTGGCTCCCTGGAGAGCCCTTGTGCAGTGCAAGGCAACAGAAAGACCTCCAGGAGGTTGGTTGCTGATCGAGACCCGCCACGCCCCCACTCCTGGTTTTGGTACATGCCTATATCAAGCCATCTCCAAACTGGCCGGTGAACATGGAAGACAAATCCAAAGACGCCTCATGTTTCAGAATCACAGAGTCCCGGGGCTGGTCCGAAACTTGGCGGCCACCCCATGTTCTCCTGCCCAGGGCTGGCAGTATTCCCATCACATGTTTGCCCAGCACCTCTTGCCCACCCTGGGTAGGAGCTGCTAATTCAGAACATACCTGTCAAATCTAATGGTTGGGAAAGTCTCCCTTCCTGGGAGATAGATTTTATGTAAACAAGATAATGGCTAAATGAAAAAATAGAATAAATACATGAAAGCACAGAAAGGATAGCATTCCCCAGACTGGCCTTCTGGATTTGGGGATGTGAAATCTTTGTAAAGGGGGCCATGTGGGATGGTAGGCAGTGTGCGATGGGACAAGAGCCACAGGGCTGGTGGTCTCCACTCAGATCCTGGCTCCACACTCACTGGCCATGTGATCTCCAGCAAGTCATTTCGCCTCTCTGTGTGTCAGGTTTTGCATTTATAAAATGAGGACGATCCTATCTTCCTCACAGTGCTGTCACATGGATTAAATTAACAAATACAGGTAAGGCCCCTAGCACAGGGCCCAGCACAGAGTGAACACTCAGTAAGGCCACCATTGTTAACCGTGCCTCCTGCGCTCCACAGCCACCCTCGGGCCATCCCAAAAGCAAAGCCAGATTGGGCTTGGAAAGCACAGCTCTGTTCACATCGAGCTGCTGTCAGAAATCCTCGATGGCTCCCCACTGCTTACACACACAGCTAAGAGCATGGGCTCTGAGGGCTCAAATCCCAGCTCTGCCACTTACCAGCCGTGTGACCTTGGGCAGGTGACCCCGCCTTCCTTTCCTCGTCTAAGGGAGGAGGAAGGGGAACCCCAACAGTCCTTCTCTGATGGAGTGGTGGCGAGGGCCGAGTGAGTGAGACAGCTCTGGGAACAAACATAGGCTGGTGCCCATGGCCCACTCACACTCGCTGCACCTCCCTACCACACGCTTTCATTTGTGCTAAACCTCTGCCAGCTCCGGGGTCCGAATAAAACATGTGGTCTAAATGCGGAAGACGAGAGGCGCAGAGGGAAGCAGGCCTGTGCACAAAGGTGGAGGCCTCTGGAGCGGTTCACCCCATGCCTGTGTGTGCCGCCGAATCCGCCGAATGCATGCGAGGTACATGAAGAATGGTGGCCAGCACTGGGATCTTTCTATTTGCCAGAAACTCTTCTAAATGCCTTACTTGCGTCACCTCATTTAGTCATCAGAACAATCGTATGAGGTAGAAATGATCACTATTATTATTGTCCTTGTTAAGAGGCTCAGCCTAGCGGTGAAGGGCAAAAGGTCTGGAGCAGATTCTTTGGATTAAAATTACTAGTTGTTCTATAACCTTGGGCAAGATTACACCTCAGTGTTCTCATTTATAAAATGGGGATAATGATACCTCCTTAGACTGCTTAAAAGGATTCAAGACTCAATGCATGTAAAGCACTTAGGAAGCCGCCTGGCCCATGTAAGTGCTCCCAAATGTCAGTTATTACCTCTGATGCCTGTTACTGCCACCAATGTACAGAGGAGGCAATGGAGGCTGAGAGAAGTGAAGTAACTTGCCCATGGTTGCACTGGCAGAAAATGTGACAGGTTGGGGGTTTCTAGGATTAGAAACCCTAGCAGTCTGTGCTCTTAACCACCAAGTTCCACTGGGCAAAAAGCCCCTCCTGGGGCTCAAATCTAAGATGTGTTTGCAATGAAATCAGGCATGGTGGGAGGGACCTACTGGATCTTTGAAGCTAAGGGGTAAGTTCAGGGCTGGGGGACCAAGTGCAAAGCCCATGGAGGTACAGCCAGCCCTGGACTAGGAGTCAGAAAACCCCGCACTTCCTCACTGTGCCCTCGGGCAGGTCCCCTCTCCTCTGTAAATGTCCTCACCTGTGCACCTGATGCCCAACCCCAGGCCACCCACCAGAGGGAGATCAGCTAATGCTGCAGAGACAGGAGGAATCCATAGTCATCGGCTTCTCTGCCCTTTGTCCAGGACCGGCTGACAGCTCATATTATTTTAAGAAAAAGTCAATAGGTAAGTATCCAAGCCTCTGATAGGCTTCTGATTTCTTGTAAAGGGACTGAGGCCCATCACGAATCCTAAACCAGTGCCTCAGCTGGTCCAGGGGGCAACGGGATAGTCGATGTCACAGTGCCAGGCTTGGAACCAAGAAAGTCCAAACAGACAACGCTGATATTTTGTAACGCCAGCTCCTACACCTCCAATTATTTCCTCAAACCAAGCAGCAAGGAGGCCCATACGAGACAGGCAGGCTGAGCAGGTGCACTGCTCGCCAAGGAAAACCAAGCCCATCCCACAGAGGCACCTCCCAGGGTGCACAGCAAATTAATGTGCTGCAGAGAACATGCATTAAATTGTGCTGCTAGGCTGGTGCTGCAGGCTACCAAAGTGCCAGCCCATCCCTCTCCAGCCCTCCCTTCCCTGAGAAGCAGATCAGGTGCCAGGGCCGAACTATCTCACAGAATCACCGGCTGCTTTTGCTAGCCACCAGCCTAGCTCAGGCTCTTGCTTGCAGGCCACTGCTGGTTCTGGGTCTCGGTTTCCACTTTGTAAAACATGATTGATCACCCCTGCCCTGCCTCCCTCATGGGTAATCAGAGCCCCAAATGGGATCACAGAAGTGAAAGTGCTTTGTACAGTGCAGGGGTAGGGACGCCACTAAACAGGGAACTCCATGTGGGGACAGGTACAAGAGCCAATCAGGCCTGGGTTCAATTTGTCCATAGATGGGGAAATTGAGGCTCCAAGAGGTGAAGGGTCCTGCGCAAGCTCTCACATGTAGCAAAGAGCAGATCTGAGATTCGGTTCCTGCAGTCAGACTGCAGACCTTCTGGAGGAGAAGGCACTGAAACAGGGCCTCAGTGTGTAGGGTTCCTTCAGGAGGACCTAGAAGGAGATTCGGGCTGAGTTGGGGCAGAGTGGGCAATGCAGTGGGCATCTGACTGCTGCCTCCTGTGAGCCTGGAATGGCAGATGTGCCTGGGACTCAGTCTGAGCTTCCTCGGGTCCAGGCAGCAGCTGTGGGTAAGGTGTGAGGGCTGTGGGCCCAGAGGTAGGAACCGAGCTGGGCTTAGCAGAGGACATGCGACTGTGAGCGGCCTTCACGCTGGCTGGAAAACCGCTGTGGAATCAGGGAGCACCGGAGCTCGAAGGATGCTAAAGTTCAACCAGTTTGGGGGAGGGGTCGATCTGTTCCCATGAGCCTCCAGGGGGACCTCAGGGACCTCTGGAGCTCCCATTCTTTCAACCAGTGAACCTCACTTCTAACTAGTTTACATCAGGCTTCCCAGGAAGATTCATCTGAATAAAGGTTTCTTCAAACACACACACACATACACACACAAGCAAGAAAAAAACAAAACCTTAACAGTTGCTAAAAAAAAAAAATCACTAAATGCCTATTCTGCAGGTGAGAAGAAGAAACTCCTGCAAGGGCAGGGTCTTGCCCAGAGGGCTGTGCACAGCCAGGTTTGGGTCCTGGACCCAGCATGGATCCTGATCCAGGTTTCCTTTCCCAGGTTTTCTCTGTTGCTTTCCTGCCCTTCCCTCTGTCTTCACAGAACACCTCTCAAGCTCAAGAAACTGATGCTCAATTTTCTTCCAGTAGTCCAGGGCGCTCATGTCCCTGATGACGAGAATTACAACACTTTCTTTTGTGAGTAGATCTAAGAATGCCAGCATCTTCTTGGGCTCTGCAGACTTGGCCAAAGTCAGCCGTGTCCCTGGAGCCCGGGAGATAGGGCTGAGCCATCCTTGAGCCTACTGGTCAGGGGCAACACACACAGAAATCCGACTTCACAGAATTTGACTCTAACTTTTTCCTTCTGTGCTACCAGCAAATGCCTGTGCCTCGATGAGCCTTGCTTTACAATCCTGAAAATGGGAACCATGCCCCTTGCTCTGCCTCCCATGGTTTGTTCCTGGGTTTGGAAATGGAGGATGGAAAGAGGGAAGGAAAGAGAATGAGAAAGAGGAACAAGGCAGTCTTCTGGTTAAAACAAAAGAAAAGAAAGAAAATAGAACATTCAAACGTGTAATCCAACTCAGCACGAGCTTTAGTTTTAAAGTTCCACAGGCCAGTGCTTGCCAGCCCAGCCCAGCCAACTGCATATTATTTATGCGGCCTCAGGCAGGTTAATTTCTGCTCCTCAGTTTTCTTGTCTACAAATTGGGGCTAGTGGCACTATCTTCACAGGGTTGTCTGAGGTCTGAGCCACATCACCTGGAGAAGGAGGCACGTGGGGTCTGCATTCACATGTGTAAAGGGCCTCTCTTCTTCCCTCTGGTCTCCGGGCCCCAGAACCCCAGCAACCCCTCCCATCACAGGCTCCTTCTGCCCCAGCCATCCCCACCAAATTGAAGCTCACCGGGCAGGAGGACTAGGAGAATTAAAACATGCAATCAAACAGCTTCTTGACGGGAAATGCTTTGGAAATTTTCGGCTCCATTTACTTCTCAATCTAATTTTGTCCTCGGATGCACATTATGCGCGAGATGGGATCTCATGTGGTTTGCCCGCTCTCCGAACACCAGCAGGAGGCACCCGGCGTCTTGATTGCAGCTCCCGGCTCTCCTCGCCACATGAGGGGGCATAATGAGGGCACCCAGCAGGCTCTGGGGGCGGCCCTGGGCAAGAAGGCCTGGCCCGGACATCCTGGCACCCACTGGCCCAGCCTCTCCCACTAACACCCCTGGGGCAGAGTCTGGGGGTGTCATCCACAGCCAACTCCAGCCGCACTGCAGACACCCATCGCCACCGCAGCCCAGCTGAACCCCTGCCTGGCTCCAGCCACCTCTGATCCATGGGACCCTGCACTCCTTGGCTCCCCATCACCTCTGGATGAAGTCCAGACCCCTCATGCCCTCTCCTCCTGCCTTTTCCCAAGCATCTCTACTGGGGTGGTATAGGTTCCAGCACCCCCACCAGCACCACAGCCCTAAATGGCTTGCTTTCCCCCAACTCGCCTCCATGCCTTAGCAAATGTTGCCGCAGAGTCCTGGCAGGCGCCAGGCAAATGCCACCAATATCATCTCCTGTGAAAGACCCCCCAGATGCCCTGGTCCTGTCCCCCACAGTCCCATGCTCCTTCTTCAGTGCTCTCAGAGCCATGCTGCTCCACAGCCCAGCACATGTCAGACTGCTGGGACAGCTGTCTAGTAGAAGACACTAGACCTAACCCTTCTGGTGCAGGTACTATGTCCTGCTCACTTCTGTTTCCCTGTGGTACCCATCACGATGTTTGGCGCAGAGCTGAAGCTAAACAAATGCCTAGGCTCATTCTTTCTTTCACTCAGAAAACATCTCCCAGGCCACTCCTCTGAGCCCAGCCTGCGCTCAGTGCTAGGGATTTTGTGCCCATAAGGACAGGAGGCTTTTTTTTTGAGCCCAATCGGTGTTACTTTCCAACCTCTCCACTGAGAAAAGCCACCAGCCAAAGCCCAGAAACTACCCAAGGGCTAGCCAAAGGGAAATGCCTGCCAGCCAACCCCCAGGACTACAGGGTTGGGGCCGGGCCACCAGGTCCTTGCTTCATTCTTCTCCCTTACTTTTTCCCCAGTCCAGGCATCCTCTGCAAGTCACTCAAGTCCTGAAGGACAGCCCCCACCCCATGGCCTCCTGATCCAGCCTCCTCTCCTCACTATGGCTTTCCTGGAGCTTCAGGGCTCCACTGCCACAACCCCCATCCCAAATCCAGTGCAACCATTTCGTCCTTTCTTCAGGTGGTTTCTGGCCATGTGCAGATTCCCTTGGGCTTTCATTTAATGCTGCCTCAAATCCTGTGGAAATGGATGGGCTATGGGAGATAACTGGCTGGAAGAACAAGGCCCTCCTAACTACCAAAGCCAATGGATTCTTTCCAGCCTTGTTACCTTGGATCTCTCTGCTCACTCTCTAAATCTTCAAATATTTTTGGCTGCCTGACATCATCGAACATCCTTCTTTTGTTTGGGGCATTTTCCACTTTAAGAGTTCAGGCTTCTTGAGGCCAAAGTCAGAGACGTGATTTCCCAGCCTCCCTTGCGTGAGGGTGCAGGCATATTTTTGGGTCCCCCAAGTAGACACGTGCGTGTGAGTCTTTAATTCAGAAGCTGATGACACAAAGAAGCAGGCACCACATGGAGTCCATCTGCTGAGGCGGAGGTCCTAGTGGTGACATCCGGTGTCCAGCGACGGTTGTGTGAACCAAAGGGTCTGCGTCCACAGGCGACAGCATGGCCGCTTCACAGAGTAGTCCTGCAGCATGGGCCAGGCCTTATGCCTGACTGGGAAGCCTCCAAACCTGGTTCTGTGGCCCTCTTGGAGACCCTGAGCATCTTAACATCCTTAGAAAATCCCTTTTCTGCTTAACAAGCCAGAGAGAATTCTGTTGTTTACAGTGAAGTCCTGTGACTGCTACAGCCTCCAAGATGGAGCGCATCTGTGGCGGGAGTGTCAATCACCACTCACTCCCCCACTCCGGGCTTCTCCATGGCGTCCTCCTCCATGGCGTCCTCCTCCTCAGCCACCCTGGTTTCCCAGAGTCCCTCTCCAGCTCTGCTCCTCCCCATCGTCCTTGTCTAAAGCTCTCAACTGAGTGACTCACATCCTCCCACCACCTGTGTCCATGCCCCCAGTCCTGACCCCGCCCCCACTGCCTCTGCACATTCCACCTGAGTGTCCCTGGGGTACCCCAAAGTTAAATATTCAAACCAGCTCCTCTTCCATGGTCTTCATCTCAGCCACTGGCTCCATTATCTCCCGGGTCCCCCAGACTCCAACCAGGGGAGCATCGTTGATGGCCGCCCACCTGTTCCTCACAAGTGACTATTGCCAGTTCCACCCCTCAAAATGTTTCCTCCATCCCCCTTTCCACAGCCTGGGTTCAGGTCCTCATCCGTTCTCTCCTGGGCTTTTACAGCCACCTGGGTCAGGTCAGGTCTTCCTGCGAGTCTCATCCTCCTTACCTCCACCCTCTGTCAAGACCCCACAGAGATTCCCCTGGAGAGTCGACTCTCCTCAGGGCTCCCAGCACCTGCAAGGTCTGCCCCCAGGTCTTTGGCAGCCTCAGGGACCTGGGCCCTCCCTCATCTCCAGCTGCTTTCTTCACTCATCCTTTATCATGCTGTTCCTTCTGCCTGGAATGCTCTTCCCTCACCTGTTTCCCCAGCCTGGTTAATTCCTGCTCATTTCCGTGTGCTCAAGTGTCACCTCCCTCAGGAAGCCCTCCCACCCAGCCTCGGGAAGTGGCCCCCGTTGTGCACCTGTGACATCTGTCACATGCCTCTCCTTATCATTTCACCTTTTAAAAACATTTACTGAGCACTTTTGATGAGCCAAGAGCCTAGCTTAGAAACCCACGTGCATGATTTCATTTAACCCTAGAACAACCCTCAGAACAACCCAATGAGGAGAGTGTTAGCCTCACTTCCAGGTGAGGAAATGGCGTATCAGAAAATGTAAGTGTCCTTCCCAGGGTCAGCCGCTAAAAGGTAGGGGGGTCTGGGATTGGAGCCCAGCGCTGTCCGACCCCACGCCCTAAACACCTAATGGTGATGCTCTGTTGCTTCACCCCAGGGAGCTCCTGTCACCAGCCCAGGTGGCATAACCCTGGCCAAGGAACATCGCCTTGCTGAGCCTCAGCTTCCTCTTCTGTAAAACGAGGGTCAAGTCTTTCCCTGCTGCCCTCCCAAGATGGTAGGAGGATCTGAAAAATAACAGATGTAAAATCACTTAGTAAACTGTAGAGAGTGGTGCACATGCAAAGAAGGCATTAGCATACTTTCAGGGCTTGTCTCACCAAACAATTTCCTTGCTCACATTAGAATGAAAGGCCTTCTATCTGCTGCTTCTTTTAGAGTAAGGGTGAGGGAGGGCTCCCATCCCCTCCCTAGACCAGGGTGTCCCTGTGATTTTTAAATTCACTATCTAGCTGTCCCTATCCCCCCTCCCAAAACACAATTGTGATAGTCAAGCAAAGAAAGGTGAGAGAAAGAAGAAAATCCATAAAGGCTCGGCAAAGCGGTGGCGGTGGAATTCTCCAGCTCCTGACCACCAGTTAGTGACGTCAGGATTTATAACTGTATTAAATGGTCTGACAGGCAGCCTTGATATATCAGTTCCCCCTTCTTCCCAAATCACAGACAATAAAAGCTTTGGCAGTGAAAGTCATTCATCATCATAAAGACCTGAGACATCCCAGTCATCAATTTCACTCACATCCTTAATACACTGGAGAGAGTGCAGGAGTTGAGCACCTCAAAAAGGGAGGAGGAAGAAAACACGAAGGAAGATTGAACAGGAATAATTACAAAGGTCAAAGAAGGGATTCATCCGGGAGGGTGCCGTGGGCAGAGCCTGTCCCTGCTGGAAGTGTGCTCAGGCCACAGAGAAACTAGGCCACTGATGGGCCCAGCCCTTAGAGAGGCCCTGAAGCCCAGGTGGAGAGGGGCCAAAATAGGCTGCAGGATCCGAGTGGGGAGTGTTGGGGGCATGGGAAGCCACACCCTGGCTCCATGGCCTTAGGCTGGGTTTCACCAGGGCCTTTTATTCCATCAGCCTCATTAGCACAAGACGGATTTTAAAATAATGAAGCCACAGGTATCTGTTTGAAATCTACCCCCACCCACACTGGCACAGACGGCTATTTGTGCCAACCATGGTTTTCTTTTGGGCAACACCTTTTGAGCAACTATAACATTCGGGGCTGATATTAGTGGTTGTGAAAGACCCCATAAGGCTGCCAATCCAGCTAGAAAAGAGTAGCTGCCCAGAGCCCTAAGTGCAGCCTCTGGCTTCACCCCTCCCCTTCCCCCAAATCCAGTCACCTGGATCACACCTGCTGGCCTGCCCCGGGACCTGGGCCGAGGTTCCCCACCCCTCACCACCAGCACTTGGCATCCTTCCTCCTCTCAGGCAGGCCGGGCAATGGAGGATAAGAAAGCAGGAACTCCATGGGGTGCAGGTGTGAAGAACTGGGGACTTCACGACTTGTTCCTGAAGAGAACCAGACCTAAGTGGCATGATCCTTACCCTGGCACTTGGCCTTCTCTCTCCCAGACCAAGGAAGGAGGAAGAAAGTCTGTTTAAGAAAAGCAGTTGGCTGGGAAGGGTGGCTCACATATGTGGTCCCGGCTACTCAGGAGGCTGAGGTGGGAGCATCACTTGAGCCCAGGAATTTGAGACCAACCTGGGCAACAGAGTGAGACCCCATCTCTAAAATATTTGTTTTTAAGTAATGACAATTATCTTTCTTATGCTTTTATTTTTTGCTTGAAAGCAAAAGAACAGAAGAAAGCTTTGGTCTAGGTGGGGAGTTTCTTGAAGCACAGGGCTCCCCACAATGGACAACACACAGCCTGAGGGCTGGGAGGCTGCACAGCAGGGGCTGAGAGCCCTGAGGCTGCTGGGGCATGTCCAGGTGGCCTGGCCCAGGCAGGAACATGAAAGAATACACAGCATGTTTCCCAAGAAAGAAGGAGCAATCATACCTGCTGTGTCTGCCCATCCACTCACCAAACCTTCACCCAGGACCTGCTAAGGCCTGGTCAGGCTGCATGAGGTCTGTCTGAGCAGGAGGCTGACCTAAGGGGATGCCAGCTTTTCAGGGGTGAGTCAACCCACTACCCTTCAATCAGATATCACCCAAGAAGCCCCATCAGTCCCGGCCCCTACACGTGGCCTGAAATCCACCTATCAGCTCTGTTCTTCAGATAGGGGTCTGTCCAACTCAGACTTCCTCTGGCACACTTCCAGGCTGCCATGACTCACCAGGCTTTATGAGAATAGTGTGGCTTAGAGGTCAAGTGTGTGGTCTGTGGAGTCTGACTGCCGGCATTTAAAACCTGGCTACACCACTTACAAGCTGTGTGACCTTGAGCAAGTTTCTATGCTTCTCTGTGCCTCAGTTACTGCACCAGTGAAATGAGGATGAGAAGAGTGACTCCCACAAAGGGTTGTTATGCAGATTAGACAAGCTATTAATAAGTCAAGGGCTTAGAACAATGCATGGTGCAGAGGGAGTGGATGGGAGCATCAGCTATCACTCCTGCTGGTGACTCTTGGCTCATGGGACCCTAGCTTGGGCCTGCCTCTCTAGCTGTTCAGGATTGAAACCAACTCTGGGGGAAGAGCTCCCTAGTCCCCTATCCTACACACCAGCCCCCTAAATAGGCTGCTGGGCCACACTATCCTTAACATGGGCATGTGACCCCATCTTGAACCTGGGTTCACAGAGGCATACGAAAGGAACTAATGGGTCTGAAAAGGCAAACACTTCTCTGGATGGGTTCATCCAGACAGGCAGCAGGTGCCCCTAAGCATTCATGCCAGAAACAACCTTACTAAACATTTATAGATGATCTCAGGGTGGGAGTAGAAGTTCTATGGCCTCACAGATAATGAAAATAAAAGCTAATAGAGATAAATTAGAGAGAGATTTTTTTCCTGAGCTGTGAACTTGGCCAAGAAAAAAAAAAGGCAGCAGACTAGTAGAAGCTAATGCATTTGGGAAGAAATAATAATTATGATAATATCTTGAATTCAAATGTGACTTTATGCTAATCAAAGATATGTATGTGAGTGTGTGAATCATGTCAATAACCTTGACAATGACCTAGAAGGGTGGAGTGCTGCGTGATTAGTAACGACCAATCATAGCAGACAGCTCGTTGGTTTATTAATTCATCCATTCATTCATTCAATAAACACTTCCTGAGTACATACTATATTCCAAGTCCCATACTAGGCTGTGCTGGAGAAGGCAGAGACAATTCAGAATCTTGTAGACTAAGAAGAAAGTTAGGCTGGACACAAAGAATTATAAATCAAGGCACAATGGGCTAACAGGCATAATGGTGGGCTGATCAAGGGCAATATGACTTCTGACTGTAGGGTAATTGAGGAGGGCTTCCTAGAGGAGGCAGCACTTGGGGAGTGCTCCAAGGAGACATGCACTGAAGGCACATGGGCAGGGACTGTCAGGCCTGCTGGTTCTTAAATCCCTCAGCAGTGTTGTGAGATCCTTTCACAGGCAAAGTCCTGGACCAGCTCATCTTCACTTTCCTGCCGGGGAGGCCGGACCCCTGGCACAGTCAAGGTGGCCGGCTCTCCATGAGCTCACAAGAAAGGGCCCAGCCCCTTACAGCTTCTGGGCCATTGTCACACACTTTCTTTCATGTGCACTTCACCATAGTCCCGTAAGGGAAGAATGAGCCAGGATTTATAATTCCCACTGGGCAGACGGCAAAACTGAGGTTCAGAGAGGGGAAGGGAATTCTCAAAGTTACCAGGAGTTATGGCAGAGCTGGGATGAAGACCTGTGAGCCTGACTCCAAATCAGGCCCCTCTCTCCCTTTCACAGCAGACTGCCGCCACCTCTGGGCAAATGACAGAAGCACCCGAAGTACAGGAACCAGCAAGACCAAAGGCTTGGAGTCAGGGACTCCGCATGGCTGAGTTGAAAGATGGCAAAAAGACGGGCCTGGATAAAGGTTCCACTGGGCAGCTTCATAGATAGGCAGATAGAGGGCAGTGGATCAACCAGGCTGAGAAAGGAGGATAGGAGAGGGAAAAAAAAGACCCACTCTGCAAGGACAAAGGCTGAGTTCCACATGGAGGAAAGAGCACTAGAATAGGAGTCAAGGGATATGGGCTCCAGAGGTGTCTGACTTTGGGAGAACTTGAGTTCTCAGTCTCAGCCTCCCCATCTGTTCAATGATGGAATTGCACCTGGTGATCCCTAGGGTTTATCCAGCACCTATATTCCAAAGTCTCTTGACTCTAGGGAGGGCACAAATTATCTCAACACTGGGGCAGATGGAGGAGACAGAGTGAGAACCAGCCAGTGCTCACAGAGAGAGTGGAGAAAGAACAGGCAGAAACGGAGCAAAAGAGGTGCCCAGTGCCCTCACAGATGATGGGTCATCCAGGGGAACTACAGGACACACGGTGCTCAAGGAGGCTTTTATATTTGGCCCTGGAGATGTGGTAGACAGAAGAATAATCCACCCCCCACCCCAGGATGTCTACATCCTAATTCCCAGAACCTGTGACTATGTGACCTTACATGGCAAAAGGGACTTTGCAGATGTGATTAAATTGAGGTATTTGCGATGTGGAGAGCGTGTGGATCACCCAGGTGAGCCCAATGTAACCACAAGAGATTTTAGAAACAGGGGCAAGGGGGTCAGAGTCACAGACAGAAGATGTGGCAGCAGAAGCAGAGGCCAAGGAGGAGAGAAGATGCTACTCTGCTGGCTTTGAAGATGGAGGAAGGGGCCATGAGCCAAGGAATTTGTGTGTCCTCTAGAAGCTGGAAAAGGCAAGGAAACGAATTTTACCCCAGGGCTTCCAGAAGGAACACAGCCCACCACTCTTTGATTTTAGGACTTCTGACCTCCAGAACTTTACAATAATACATTTGCATTGTTTTAGCCCCTGGGATTGGGGTAATTTGTTACAGCCGCAACTGGAAACTGCAGGAGGTCAATGGAACATCCAAGACAGGCAGCCGTCAGGCCTGCTCCACGCTGGACAGATCCCCCCGCAAGCTCTCCCACCAGCCCCTCTGCTGGGGACCCCTAAGTCTGACTCCCTGACTCAGGTTGTTTTCCCGAGCTCCAGATTTTCAAAGCCGCATGTAAGAAGCCCAGGCAGGGCTTTTAGTGCTTTGCAAGTTATCCACTCACTTCATCTACATAGTGAGTTCTATCCCCATTTTATAGATGAGGAGACTGAGGTGTGCACACATACATACACACATGTTGAGAAACCGAGGTCACCAATTCATAAGTGGCAGAGCTGGGATTCAAAGCCAGGCAGTCTGATCCAGCATCTGCACACAGGACTGCACGTTTGATCAGTTTCCCAGACCCCAGTGGGCGCCAGCCTCTCTGTGCTACAGTGAGCGGAAAAGGGCTCTGCTTGAGGGGCTTGGTACCAAGGGAAGCAGGACCGTAGAGGAGTTAGGAGAAAACCATACCTCCAGTTACAAGCTGTGTGAACTCACAGGTTTCTTTAACTATTACTTGGGACCAAAATAGTGCCTGTGTTTTAAAGAGTAGAAGATTAAATGAACCAAAGTACATAACAAATGCTTATTATTAAACATTAGCTATCATTGTTATTATCTCCTGAGGCAGCCTATTCAGCTTTCAGAGAGTTCAAACTGCTCAGAAGTGCTTCTTCTCACTAAACTAAAGCTTCCTCCCCGTGGCTTCCCCTTGTCCTCCTGGCAGCCTCCCTCCCCGCATAGCATGGGGGAGGCCATAGCCAGGCTCCAAGTCAGCTGTCTCTATGCCAACAGCCCTGGGCCTCCTGTGGATGCCAAGGTGCCCTGTCCTCTGCCCTTCTTGGGCCTGTTCACCTCTGTCTGAAGCCCCGTGTATCAAATACTGAGAGAGATTCGCCCCCTAGCCCTGAGGATCGGGGCTGTTCAGCCACACTGCTAGGGAAAAAGTCCATGCTGGTTCGTCCAGTTCATCAGACAGGGTGGAAGCTCTTTACTTACCGACAGCTAGGGTGTCCTTAAAACATGAATAACCTTAAAAAAATTAAACAACAATGCAGAGAGTTTGAACCCATTTATAGGAAATAAACTGTATGTGTACATCCTGACATGTTTCTTTATGCACAGCAAAGGTTCTGGAAGAACACATACCAAATCGCCAACTCTGATGACATCTACAGAATGGATTAGGAATAGACTGAGGAGACGTGGGGACAGATTGCTGTACATACTTCTGTGCCATTTGAATTTATTTTACAGTGAACATGTATTACTTTGCAATTAAAAAGGAATTATTCACTTTGGGAGGTCAAGGTGGGAGGATTGCTCGAGCCCAGGAGTTTGAGACCAGCTTGGGCAACATGGCAAAACGCTGTCTCTACAAAAAATACAAAAATTAGCCAGCATAGTGGCGTGCACCTGTAGTCCCAGCTACTTGAAAGGCTGAGGTGGGAGGATCCCTTGAGGCTGGGAGGACAAGGGTACAGTGAGCCATGATCACACCGCTGCACTCCAGCCTGGGCCACAGGGTAAGACCCTGTTTCAAAAAAAAAAAAAGAAGACTTTTTTTTTTTTAAGAGAATGGTGAGAGATTAAACCAAAGAGAAGCCAAGAGTGGATGGCTTCCCTGGAGCAGCTTAGATGTTGCTTCCCCATAAAACCTTCCCCAGACCCCACAGAGAGAAGCAACTGTCCCTTCCTTCATGCTGTCAAAAGCACTTGGCTTCTCCCACAATATTTCTCTTTCTTTTTCATTTTTGTTTTGTTTTGCTTTGCTGCATACATGTATCCATGTTTGCCTCCCCCATCAGACTGTGAGTTGGCTGAGGGCAGGAATTCTAAAACCCTCAGGACTTAGACTAGGCTGATGTCTGACATGAAGGAGGAGTTCAGTTTTAATGGAGAGATGAGTGAATGGGTGATGAATGGCAGAAGCTCTGCAAATTGCCCAGGTGCTATCCTTTGCACTTTTTCTCCTCCAGACAATGACAAGGCAGTGGGGATCTCTGACCACAAGAACAAGCTAATGAAATCGCTATTTTAGGAAGATGGATCACAGCAGGGTGGGCTGGATGCTGGAGGCCCAGAGACCTGCTTGAAGGCTCTTTGGAAGGGTCGGCTCCCAAGCCACTCACAGGTATAAAAATCTATGAGACCATTAGCAGAAGGGCTGTCCAGCTTCATTTATTTTTTATCCTATAAATATAAGGTCAGAAACAACTGGAGTACTTTCCACTGAAATTATTTTTTTAATTGATGCTACACTTTACACAAATATTAATTCATTTTATTCAACAAATATTTCTTGGGAACATTGTGCTAACCTGAAAGCAAATCATATTTTTCTTCTACGTGCATTTTAATTACGAAGATGCTTGAGTTTCATTTCGGCTTTAAAATGATCGGACCTCTGGCACCTCTGAACCTCTGAGTAGCCTTCCAAACACTAAGATTCCAAAATTCTAGGTTTCTAGGAATCCAAGAATCTATAATTGTGAGTCTATTTACCAGTGAAAAAGCAAATACTTCAAATTTCAATAGAATTCACCCCCAAATCGTTCTGGAATGCAAATAGCCCTGCATCTCTGGGGAGAGTCCAATTTGGATATGGAGTTTTCACTCTGCAGCCACTGCTACTGCAAAGGGCCCACAACATTGAGTCTGGAGAGAGCGGATGTCATTGCACTGGGATGAAACGCTGTGTTGCTGCACATTCTTGAGAACTTTGCACTCGCTATTCCAGGCCCTTCCCAGCGGGTGGTTTGCACACTGAGCTGATACTGGGGAAAGCCATCCCAGGCAGGTAGAATAGCTTGAGCAGAGGCCTGAAGTCAGGGACAGGTAAGGCTGGCTGGAGAGCCTGTGGGCTGCCCTTCCTGGCTTGAGAGAGGGGTTTCTGTTGGGCAGGAATGAAGGTAAGAGGACACAGGAAGGATGGGGTGACTGGGTTAGAACAGGGTTGAAAACCCAATGCCCACAGGGGCCAGCAGGTAAGGTAAGTGGATGAAGCTGCCAGGTGGGGTGTGGGGTAAACAGGAGCCTGCTGCTTTAGCTACAGGGGGCAACCACTTCTCAACTCTCCCCAAGTGTGGCCACTTGGGAATGTAGACCCAAGGTGGCCGAGTCTTACTTTTTTTCCAAGAGAAGCTAGACATTTTAATTTTTTTTTTTTTTTTTTTTTTTTAGATATAGGGTTTCGATCCTTTGCCCAGGCTGGAGTGCAGTGGCACGATCATGGCTCACTGCAGCCTTGACCTCCTGGGCTCAGGTGATCCTCCTGCCCCAGCCTCCCAAGCAGCTGGGACTATGGGCACGCACCACCACATCCAGCTAATTTTTGTAGATTTTTGTAGAGACGGGGTTTCACCATGTTGCTCAGGCTGGTCTTGAACTCTTCAGCTCAAGCAATCCACCCTCTTAATGTTAAATCTCCTGATTTTTAAGGCACTTTTAAATTTAACTTTTTGATAGCCGATATGTTGATAAGGTTCAAAAAATCAAAATGTAAACACCGCTCAGTAAAAAGTGTTCTCCCCACACCCTCTGCCTAAACATGGTTAAGTCCTGAGTACCCTTCCAGAGTTTCTTTAATTCTCACAAACATAAATATGCATTCCCATTGTCCCTTTTTTACGCAAAGGCAGCATGCTGTATACACTATTCTTTACCTTGCTTTTTTCATAAATAATATATCTCAAAGATACATTATTTACATCCCCTATGAGGATATAAAGAGCTTCCTCGTTCTTTCCCACTCCATTGTGTGGATGAGCTATTCTGTATATAACAAGGTCTCCACGGATGGACATTGGGGTGTATCTCCTCTGGTTGTTAAAATGTTAGGACTAATTTTTTTTTAAGTTTAAAAAACTCTATGCAAATCAAAGCACCTTTGGGCTGGACCTCGGGGGCACACGCCAGGCTAAGGGGTGTGTTGGGCAGTGCCTGGTCTATGAGTTCAAAGCATAGATGCCCGCCTGGACTTTGTAGATACCTCAGCTTCTGGCCTGACAGTGGGAAAGGAAATCACTTCAACTGAGAACAGCTTTGGGTAAATACCGCTGGAAGAGACTTCGCCTTTGAGGTAGTGAAATCCCCAATACCAGAGGTGACCAAGCCCTGATGTGGAACTGACCCCGCGCTGTGTGAAGAGTCAGGCCGCCGGACCTCTATGCTTTCCTCTAACTCCAAGAGCCCTCGAAGCCTGATTTATGGGCTGAGCCTGGCTGGCAGCAGAGAAACAACTGAGAAACCTGCCTCATCCTTTAGGATATGCATGTCATTCATTCATTCGTTCATTCATTTGTACATTTAAAAGGCTGAAGCTGTAATTTCTGCCAGAATGCCTTTCCCCGAGCTCCCCACAAAGCTTCTCAACATTTAGATCTCAGATCAAACACCACCATTTTACAGAGATCCCCCCAGCTGGGCACCACTCCCTGAGTCTCTCTCTTCTCTCCCACTTATTTTCTTCAGAGCACATGCCCTGGTAAAATTACATTGCAAATTTATTCTGTGTTTACTGTAAATTGCCTGGTTCTGCCCCACAAGTAAGCCCAGTGAGGGCAGGGACTGTCCACCAGGGGCACCATGGTACTCCCGGCCTGGCACAGAGCGAGAGCCCAATAAGCTGTAACTACTGATATTATCTCCTTTCCAATGCACAAAACAACTTTTTTTTTTTTTGAGATCGGGGGGGTCTCCCTATGTTGCCCAGGCTAGTCTCGAACTCCTGGGCTCAAGTGGTCCTCCCGCCTTGACCTCCGGAAGTGCTGGAATTACAGGCATGAGCCACACGCCCGGCCCACAGAACAACTCTGATAGCCAGCCCAGCATCTTCCATGGAATTCCGAGGACGGCCCCGTGGCCGACACTCAGTTGCAGGGTATCATCCTGCACTGTAGCTCTTGTTGTAATTTTTTACAGCGCCTTTTGGCAGCCTGGATACATAAGGTGTTCTTGTATTTTTGCTTTCATTATTCATTATGATTTCACTCTGAGAGAAGAGGTATTTCACTGCATCTCATGAGCCTCAAAAAGGCTCATAAAAATGGGTCAAAGGAGGCATGCCCCATGGAAAAATGAACAAATCGCTGTTCAGAGCTGCCTGGCACCCCGCCAGAGGGGATTGTGACAGAGGAGGCAGAACATATTTCCTGAGGAGGAAAACCCCAAAGCCACTCAGCCCAGCAGAGGGTCTCCACCACGCAGCCGAAACCAGCCTGGGCTCCCCAGCCCTTGAGACGCCCCAGGTCTGGAGTCCGTGGGTTCACAGGCTGAAAGCAACCCCATGCAGTGTTTACTGTTTCCCCAAAATCCCCAAACACACAGTGGATGTCCCTGCTTCCAATGATAGACACTGGGACTCTAAACAAGTGGAAAAAATTCAGAGCTCTCCACCCCTGCCCTTCAGCCAGACATCCTGACGGGGTCTCCAAGACTCCACCACCTTCTGAGGATTTCTGCGGGATCAGGACCCTTCGGAGAGCATCCCCACGTAGAGAGCTGTCGCTGGGCAAATGTCTCTTTGTCTTATGCCCCCAGGGCAGAGATAAGGGACTCTGGACAAGAGCCCAGACACATAGTAATAACTACCATTTATGGGGTGTTTACCACCTGCCAAGCACTGTGCTAAGCACTCTGCAAGGTCCGCTCATATAATCCTTGCCAGAAGCTGTGAGAAAACTCTAGTGCTGGCCCATTTTACAGATGGGAAACTTGGGCCCAGAAATTAGTAACTTGCCTGAGATCACCCAGCTAGAATACGGTGAAGTGGGCTTCCAGCTCTGGTAATCTGGCTTCCCTGCTGACATTCTCAACTGCACACTGAAAGAGACGCCTTCAGGAAATTTGAACTGGGATTTTTTTAGTCCATTTCATCATATAATGGCAGTAGGCTGTGGAAGCCAGGGCCCTGGGGGAGCTAGAACTGGGGCTCCAGCTCTCACTCACTAAATGTGGCCTTGAGCAGGTCACTTCCCTCTCTTGTCCTCAGCCTCCCCAGCTGTGAAGTGAGTAGTGGGACCACAGGATCCTCCCACCCTACCCAGGTATGGTCAGAACGTCTGCTCTGAGGAAGGCTGGGACTCGCCAAAGCTGGATCCCAAACTCCTCCAAGCCTCCTTCTCCACAACTGCCCACATACACTCAGACACCCCTTCGGTGGCTCTTAATCCCCCTCCTCCCACTGGCTCATTTTATCCTTGAAACAGCCAAGGGAGGCAGGGGCAGAATTACCACCCCTATTTCATAGATAGGGAAATGAGCTTGGAGAGAAGAGGATGACCAATGTGTCCAAAGACAGGACCAGTTAGGTGCAAAGTCCAGACAGAAACCTGTTCCTCTGACTCCTGTTCCAGTGCTCTTTCCCTCAGCCCTTGGCTGTTGCTCAGATTAAAAGCCAGAAGAGGGTGGACTTTCTTTGGCTGCCAAGTTTTGGGTATTGAGACTCCAAACATTGAACCTGAGGGATACTGCAAATCAGAGCAGGTGGACTCAGGGACTTGGCAGCCATTCTGTCTGTCTTTGTGGGTATTTCCGCTACTAAAAAGGGGCAGTGCCCAGGGGGAGCCTCAGTCCCCAGGGCCCAGGTCTCCTACCAGGCTAGTGTTTCCCAAACTTGCTGGCCCACAGGAGGCCTCTCTCTGTCTCCTCCTCACATGCCAACTTACTGATGCAAAGAGATGCTCCTCAGGGAAAAAGGCCAGCAAGATACAGTCTGGCCCCATTCCTTTGTTCTCTCAGGCAAAAGGTCAGGTGGACCCAGCTAAGTCCTTCACCAGTAGAGAGGTGAGCAGAAGTGGGGAGCCTGGTGCCCCACCCGCTGTCCTCTCTGGCAGGTAGGCACAGTGGCTCCCCCATCAGCAGGCCTGTGGCCCAATGAGACACCTGCAGATAATTAGTCCCAATCAGGACAGGCCCAAACTGCTGACAGTGCAGTAACAGGCTGGCCATGTCACCAGTTTGCAAATGGTGAGCAGTTTCAGAACTGTGGCCCTAGCTGGTAGAGCAGGTGTTTAACTTAATATTTAATGCGGCATATATATCCCTCTCTAATGAGATCTTCCCTGAGCAGCCCAGAGTGTGAGGGCTGAGATAGAGCAGCGCAGAAGCCATCTGTTCCCCAGACCCCAGGTAGAGCCCTGGGCCGGGCTCACCATCCAGCTGGGCACCTACAGCACTCTGGGCTTTGTGGGGAGGGAAAAGGAGAGAGGTGGGGCCGGAAGGTTCTGAGTGTCCCTTGAAGAGCTCTGCACTATGTCAGCACATCCGCTAACACAGGTGGAGTTAGATGAATGCCGTGTGGTGAAACAGAGCCCCCCACCCCCCAACAGCTCCTGGGGGCATTCCTTCAAGGTGTTTAACAGTTCTCAATGGGGTGGGTAACTGCACCTCCAGAGGGCGTTTTGAAAATCCATGGGGGCTTCTCCCTGCCTGAGGGGTGTTACTGCCCTGCAGTGCAAGAATCCCACACAGTGAAGACTTTTTCTCCATTCTTCACAACTCTCCTGTCCTGCCAAACATTCAGGTACGTGAGAAATCCGTTTACAAGTATTTGAATCTAGAACTGAACTTCATTTACATATAAATGTGAACTTGCAATTTCCATGGTTTTAATATACACTGAATTTTCTAGGAATGCAACTACCGTGTAAATGGAGCAAAGCTTGTACTTTGTTTTACTTGGAACTTTGCCAAGGGTTCCTCACCTATTTGTAAAATCACGCTGGCAGGATGAGTTAGTGTTAGTCCCTAGTCCATACCTGTGTGTAAGGCTATGTCTGGGGCTGTTGCATTCACTGTGATTCTGTGCACGGGGAAAGCCCTGGACACCTTCATTATGTCTTGCAGTTTAAACATACAGAGCATATACATATCATAGTACATATTATTTAATTATACATAACTTTGCTTTCATCTCATTTACCTCATAGGGCATTGTTTTGATTTTATTTGAAATTAGTTGTGAAGACAGACCTACATTCTTAATGAATGTAATTTCAGGAGAGTAAAGGGGCACTGTGAATATATGCTATCCCAAGGGGATGCTGGGTGGAACTGGGTGGAGAACTCGACTGCAATGCATCCCTGCTACAGCACCATAATGCCCCAAAAAGCAGAGGAAAGGGCTCAAAGCTCTCCCACCGGATCTTCACATACAAGCATCTGATGTGTGTGTGTGCACACGCACATGCATCTGTGTGTCTATCCTTTATATTTTTTCATAGAAATGAAAAACTTTCATTGTTCATATCAATGAAATACTTAAATACTTAATATTTACTTCAAAGTATATCTTAGACACTTATTTACATCGGTACAGATAGTTCTATTTAATTCTTTTTAGTGGCTGCATAGTATTTTATTGTGTGCAAGAGACATAATTTATTTAACCAGCTCCTATTGATGGATGTTGCGTTGTCTGTTTTTATTTACCATTATAAATAATTCTGCAAGGATCATACATATATAGATATCATTGTGCATCTATGTGAATATACCTATGACATAAATTCCTAAAAGTACGTATAAAAGTTCTGAGTCAAGCAAGTAAACATGTGCGTTTAAAATTTTGATAGATCCCATTCCAGTACGTGTAGCTCTAAAAAAAGAAAAGTGATCAATATTGCCAAGTTTCCCTTCCAAAGAGATTGCATCAATGTATGCTCTTATAACAGTGTGTGAAAAGATAAGTTTCTCATACTATCTCCAACACTGAACTTTAATCTTTGTTAAGATGTTTTTAAGTGTCTCATGATTGTTTTAATTTACAGTTTTAAAGTTATAAGTCAGGTGAACACGTTTTCATATACTGCTGGGCATCCGCATTTTTTCCCAATGAAAAGATGTTCAGGTTGAATGAAACGTTAAGAAAAAAAAGTCAGTAGAAAAAAATGGGCAAAGGATTTTTACTTATTCATTTTTAAAAGCTCTTTATATATTGAGGAAATTAGCTTTTTGTCATCTGTCTTCTACACTTTTTTTTTCATTTTGTTCTTTGTCTTTTGGATGTTCTTCCATATACATACAAAAGATTTAAATGTTTAATACTTAAATTTATTTCTTTTGTCTTTTGTATTCAGAATATAGTTTAAAAAAGACTTTTCCCACTCTAAAATTATAAAAAAATTTCCAGGCCAGGCACAGTTGCTCACTTCTGTAATCCCAGCACTTTGGGAGGCCAAGGTGAGAGAATCACTTGAGCCCAAGAGTTCAAAACCAGCCTGGGCAACATAGGGAGACCCTGTCTCTACAAAAATAAAAAAATTACCAGGATGTAGTGGTGCATGCCTGTGGTCCCAGCTGCTTGGGAGGCTAAGGTGGGAGGATCACTAGGAGGTTGAGGCTGCAGTGAGCCATGATCACACCACTGCACTCCAGCCTGGACAACAAAGTGAGATTGAAAAAAAAAAAAAATCCCTTGAGGTTTTTTTTGTTTGTTTTATTATGACTTCATTTTTGATATTTAAAGGTTTTGTTCAACCTGAATCTTATTTTAATATAAAGAGTGAGGAAGGTATTCAACAGGCCCAATTGTCTCAACGTCATTAACTAAATGATTTACCTTTTTTTCTACTGATTTCAAATGCTGCATTTGTGAATGCCCAAGTATATTTGGACCTATTTCTGAATTTTCTATGCTGTTCGTCTGTTTACTTCAGTTTCAGTAACAAACAGTTTTAGTTATTGTAGCTTTATCAGATATTTTAAAATATGCTAAGACTTTTACTCATTTCTCTATGTTAAAATTTTTCTAGCTATCACTGAGTATTAATTTGTCTATTATTTAGCATCATTTTGATAAAGTCAAAAGAAATCTGTTGGTATTTTGATAGAAATTATTTTGAATTAATAGGTTACTTCGGAGGAGTTGGCATTTTATGATATTTAGTTTTTTATCCAAGAATAAACTACATCTCTTCATTTATTCTATTATGACCCTTAAGGGAGTTTTAAACTTAAGTTTATTCCCAGGTGAGATATATATATATATATTTATAGTTATAGTTAGTGGGGTCTTCTCTTTTATTATGTTTTCTCTTTTTTTGAGACAGAGTCTCATTACATCATCCAGGCTGGAATGCAGTGGCGTGATCTCGGCTCATTGCCATCTCCATTTCCTAGGTTCAAGTGGTTCTTGTGCCTCAGCCTCCCTAGTACCTGGGACTACAGGTGTGCACAACCATGCCTGGCTAATTTTTGTATTTTTGGTAGAGACGGGGTTTCACCATGTTGACCAGGCTGATCTCAAACTCCTGACCTCAAATGATCCGCCTGCCTTGGTCTCCCAAAATGCTGGGATTACAGGCGCGAGCCACTGCACCCAGCTCTTTTATTATGTTTTCTAGCTAACTATTGTTTACTTATAAGAATATATATTATATTGATAATTAGAATACTTCTAATATTTTTAAATTAAGCATAATTTTGACTTAGGCCTGGGATGTTTATATTTTTTTCTGCTCTATAATGAGACTTTAAAATGGATAAATCAAAGTATAAACAGGTCTTTGGTCAAGGGTTTACTTTAAAACTCAATGCATGCCCAGACTTCCTGCTTGGGCCTAACAAAGAAGCCTTCTCCTGCAGACCCCAGGACAGCTAAGCCACTGAGCTGGTTCTTAGCACCAATCTTCTAGATCAGTTCAACTCAAATTTCTTGCCAGGCTTGTAAGATAAATAAGGAAGCAACTGAGTGGGGACCATGGGGACCTGTCTTAAGGGGCAGCAGCTACTGCTACTGAACCCCAACCACCACGACTATGTGGGAATATGACCCAGTGTGGCCAAATTTTCCAGTTTTTGTAAGGGAATCCCCAAATCCAGACTTTTGTTTTCTAAATATTGACTCAAATTTGTAAAAAGCTCTATGTAGCCCCAACTAAACATGTCTGTGGGCTAGATTAGCCCTTTGGCCAGCTGGCCACCAGTTGACCATTTCTGTAGACAAGATTCTCAGAAAGGCAACCACAGCCTCAACTTTTACAGGATTATTTTCTACCTAAAGAGGCATGTGCATAAATGGCAGGATGCCCAGCACACCTCATTTTACTGTGTTTCACTTTATTGTACTTCACAAATATTGCATTTTTTAACAAATGGAAGGTTTCTGGCAACCCTGTGTCAAGCAAATCTATCAGTGCCATTTGTCCAACAGCATGCGCTCCCTTCCTGTCTCTGGGTCACATTTTGGTAATTTTTGCGACATTTCACAGTTTCTCATTATTATTATATCTGTTATGGTGATCTGTGATCAGTGATCTTTGATATTCCTATTCTAATTGTTTCAGGGAGCCACAAACTGTGCCCATATAAGATGGAAAACTTCCAATAAATGCTGTGTGTGTTCTGACTGCTCATCACTGATTGGCTGTTCCCTCATCTCTCTTCTTCTCCTAGGGCCTCCCTATTCCCTGAGAGACATCAATACTGAAATTAGGCCAATCAATAACCCTACAATGGCCTCTATGTGTTCAAGTGAAAGGAAGAGTCATGTATCTCTCACTTTAAATCAAAAGCTAGAAATGATTAAGCTTAGTGAGGAAGGCATGTCAAAAACTGAGACAGGCCAAAAGCAAAGCCTCTTGCACCAAACAGCCAAATTGTGAATGCAAAGGAAAAGTTGTTGAAGGAAATTAAAAGTGCCATTCCAGTGAACACATGAATGATAAGCCTTATTGCTGATATGGAGAAAGTTTGAGGGGTCTGGATAGAAGCTCAAACCAGGATGGGCATGGTGGCTTACACCTGTAATCCCAGCACTTTGGGAGGCAGAGGTGGGAGGATTGCTTGAGCCTAGGAGTTTGAGAACAGACTGGGAAACATAGAAAAACCCTGTCTCTACAAAAAATTTAAAAATTAGCCAGGCATGGTGGTGCACGCCTGTAGTCCCTGCTACTCAGTAGGCTGAGGTGGGAGAATTGCTTGGGTCCAGGAGGTCAAGACCAGTGAGCCATGATTGCACCACTGCACTCCAGCCTGGGTGACACAGTGAGACCCTGCCTCAAAAAAAAGAAGAAGAAGATGATCAAACCAGCCACAACATTCCCTTTAACAAAAGCCTAATCCAGAGAAAGGCACTAACTCTCTTTAATTTTAGGAAGGCTAAGAGAAGTAAGGAAGCTGCAGAAGAAAAGTTAGAAGCTAGCAGAGATTGGTTCATGAGGTTTATGGAAAGAAGCCATCTCCATAACACAAAGGTGCAAGGTGAAGCAGCAAGTGCTGATGTAGAAGCTAAGATCAAGCTAAGATCATTGATGGAGGTGACTACACTAAACAACAGATTTTCAATATAGACCACTCTTATACTGAAAAAAGATGCCATCTAGGACTTTCATAGATAGAGAGGAGAAGCCAATGCCTGGCTTCAAAAGCTTCAAAGAACAGTCTGACTCTCTTGTTAGGGGCTAATATAGCTGGTGACTTTAAGTTAAAGCCAATGCTCCTATATCATTCCAAAAATTCTTGAGTCCTTGAGAATTATACTAAATCTACTCTTCCTGTGATCTACAAGTGGAAAAACAAAGCCTGGATAACAGCACATCTGTTTACAGCATGGTTTACTGAATATTTTAAGCATACCATTGAGACCTACTGCTCAGAAAAAAAAAAAGATTCTTTTCAAAATATTACTGCTTATTGACAATGCACCTGGTCACCCAAGAGCTCTGATGGAGATGTACAAGGAGATGAATGTTGTTTTCATGCCTGCTAACACAACACCCATTCCGTGGCCTGTGGATCAAGGAAGAATTTCAACTTTCACGTTGTCTTATTTAAGAAATACATTTTGTAAGGCTATATCTGCCAGAAAGTGTGATTCTTCTGATGGATCTGGGCAAAGTACATTAAAAACGTTCTGGAAAGAATTCACTATTAAAGATACCATTAAGAACATTCACAATTTGGCTGGGCACGGTGGCTCACGCCTGTAATCCCAGCACTTTGGGAGGCTGAGGCAGGTGGATCATGAGGTCAGGAGTTAAGACCATCCTGGTCAAGATGGTGAAACTCCGTCTCTACTAAAAATACAAAAATTAGCCAAGTGTGGTGGTGGGTGCCTGTAATCCCAGCTACTCGGGAGGCTGAGGCAGAGAATTGCTTGAACCCGGGAGGCAGAGGTTGCAGTGAGCCCAGATCATGCCACTGCACTCCAGCCTGGGCAACAGAGTGAGACTCTGTCTCAAAAAAAAAAAAAAAAAAAAAAAAAAAAGAATATACGTGATTCATGGGAAAAGGTAAAAATATCCACATTTACAGGAGTTGGGAAGAAGTTGATTTCAGCCCTCATGGATGACTTTGAGGGCTGAAAATGACTCACTTCAGTGGAGGAAGTAATTGCAGATATGGTGGAAATAGCGAGAGAACAAGAATTAGAAGTGGAGCCTGAAGATGTACTGAATTGCTGCCATCTCATGATGAAACTTTAGTGAATAAGGAGTTGCTTCTTATGGATAAGCAAAGAAAGTGGTTTCTTAAGATGAAATCTACTCCTGGTGAAGATACTGTGAACATTGTTGAAATGCCAACAAAGGATTTAGAATATTCCATAAACTTAGTTGGTAGGGTAGTGGCAAGGTTTGAGAGAGCTGACTCCAATTTTGAAAGAAATTCTATGGTGGATAAAATGCTATCAAACAGCATCATATGCTACAGAGAAATCTTTCATGAAAAGAAGAGTCAATTGATGCAGCAAACTTCATCATTGTCTATTTTAAGAAATTGCCACAGCCACCCCAATCTTCAGCAACCACCGTCCTGATCAGTCATCAGCCATCAACATCGAGGCAAGACCCTCCACCAGCAAAAAGATGACTCACTGAAGGCTCAGATGATTATGAGCATTTTTTAGCAACAAGTATTTTTAAATTAAGGTATGTGTCTTTTAAAAAACATAATGCACACTTACTAGACTACAGTACTGGTTGAGTATCCCTTATCCAAAATGCGTGGGACCAGAAGTGTTTCAGATTTTGGATCGCTTTGGATTTTGGAATATTGGCTTTATATTTACCAGTTCAACTCCTAATCTGAAAATCCAAAATTTGAAATGCCTCAATGAGCATTTCCTGTGAGCATCATGTCATACTCAAAAAGTTTCAGATATTGGAGCATTTCAGATGCTCAACCTGTATAGTATAGACATAGCTTTTTTTTTTTTTTTTTTTTTTTTTTTGAGACAGAGTTTTGCTCTTGTGGCCCAGGCTGGAGTGCAATGGCGTGATCTTGGCTCACTGCAACCTCCGCCTTCCAGGTTCAAGCAATTCTCCTGCCTCAGCCTCCCAAGTAGCTAGGATTACAGGCATGCACCACCACACCCAGCTAATTTTGTATTTTTAGTAGAGATGGGGTTTCACCATGTTGGCCGGGCTGGTCTAGAACCCCTGACCTCAGGTGATCTGCCCGCCTCGGCCTCCCAAAGTGCTGGGATTACAGGCGTGAGCCACTGCGCCCAGCCAGACATAGCTTTTATACGCACTGGGAAACCAAAAAATGTGTGTGACTCACTTTACTGAGATATTTGCTTTATTGCAGTATCCTGGAACCAAACCCACAATGTCTCCAAGATAAGCCTATAACATCTTCTTGTGATCTGCCTACCCAATCTTCTCATAAACTCTGATCCCAGTAACAAACCCTCCTTTCTGCAGAACACTCTCCTCTGGGATCTCATTTGATCCTTACCTGGAGCCTGAGAGACCAGAACCCTTTTACAGATGGAGAAACGGAGGCTCAGAGATGTGTCCAGAGTCAGACGGCAAGGCAGTGACCTTGCTGGATGAGCTCCAGCTGATCTGTGTGGCAGCATGGCCAGCAGCACGGGCCCTGGCATTCAACTGCAACTCCACTGCTCACCAGCTGTGATCTTGACAAGCCACTCAACTGCCCCAAGCCTCAGTTTCTCTATTTGTGAAATGGACATGATCATAACGGTCCCACCTCCCAGGATTCCTCTGAAGATAAAGTGAGTTCACTTAGCACAGTGCCTGGTTCTCAGTAAGTGCTCAGTGAAGTGCCAGTTTCTATTATTGTTCGCTAATCCAGGTTTCTTTGCACTCTGCCATGCCCACCTCTATAATTATTTGTAGTTCCTTGAAAAAGAGGAAAAAGGGCCCAGGATCTAGGAGCCAGAGGGCCAGCTCTAACTCCCCCTTACCCCTTATGCTGGGCAAGCCACCGCCCCTCCCTGAGACTTGGTTTCTGTGTCTGTGAAATGGGAGTGCCTTCAGAGGTCTTGTCATGGATTCTTGTGACACCAGGGGAGGGGACCCCCTCGGACACCTGTGGGGTCAGCAAAGGCTTACTCCAGATGGGCTCCCCGGCTCCCTGCCCCTCGCTAACGTCTCCCACCTCAGGCCTGGGTGCACTCCAGGCTCTTGGCCCACCTCAGGTGGATGGGGGACAAAGTTGCTCTTGCCACCTGACTGGCCCTTACGTGGTGCTCAGAGCTGCAAATAGGGCCCCTCTCTTCTGCCTGAGCCTCAGTGCTGACCCTTCAGCCCAGGTCTCGGAGCTGGGCCCTCCCTGTCTTGCTGCTTTGGCCTAAGTGACCCCCTCCACTGTTCTAATCCGAGTCTAACCCAGCTTCCCTGATGCACCCACAGTCCACCTGCATGTCTACGAGTCCCGTGTCACTGTCACTATTCACTGTGCCCTGCCTACCAGCCCACATGGGCATCCTGCTACCTCAAACCAGACCCATGGCTCTGGCCCAAGTGTGGCCCGCCAGCCCCTTGTCTATTTGTGCAGTACCCGAGCGGGCCTCCTGCCTGCCCGGTTGGACAACCAAGAGCTGGCAGCTGAGTCTGTCCACATGGAGTCGGCTCCACGTTACCCCAGCACAGCTGGGCCAGGGGTCTCCCCGTCCTGGCCCACGCATCCAGCCCTTCTGCAGCAGCAAGTCAGCAAGCCCCTTGGTGACCTGCCACAGGGAGAGGGTTCTCAGAAGAATCCTAACAGCTACATGTATTGGGTGCTTACCATGTGCCAGACGAGAGTCCAAGCACCTTCCACAGACGAACAAATTAATCCTCACCACAGCCCCCTGGGGTAGGTGCTAGCACTAGTCCCGCTGTGCAGCTTAAAGCCACAGCCCAGAACGCATACATGACTCACCCAAGTCTGCACAGCTAGTAAATGGCATGATCAGACTCAACAGTGCACCTCCAGGACCCACACTCCCAATCTCTACACAGACAGCTAAAGAGTCTGGCCCTGGGACTTCCAGAGGGAAGCTGCTTGGCATCCACCATGCACCATCCAGCTTACGCCACCTACCCTTCTTGACTCAGATTCTGCCTGCCAACATCAATCTGCAAGGAATCCCATTCCTCCTTGAGGTTGGTGCCCACCAGGGTGGCCTTTCTCATGAAAGAAATAAACCCTAGGCCTCTGAACACTCAGCCCCACCCACGGGGGCCCCTCTGGCATGAGGTTTCCTGCCCCCTACCCCAAGTCCCCTCCAGCCCACAGTCCATTTGGCATTTGTTCTCCCCAGCTTTGTTGGAATCATATCCAGCCATGTCTCATCACAGCTGCAACCCTGGCCCCAGCACCTGACCTGTTCCCAGGCCTCATAACCTTGTTAAAACAAAATTGGCCAATCACATCCAAACACACCAAGAAGCCACTCTTCCCACCACACACTCCTATCTCTCTCTCTCTCCCTCACTCATCCCCCATGCCCCAGGTGCCCTCACCTGTCACAATGGGGTAGGACTGCGGGCCTGGCACACTGCTCCCGATGTCAGCAGGGGTGGGGCTGGCCAGATTGGCCTTCATGTCGTCCAGCCCACCAGCCAGCGAGGCCATGGCTGAATACTCTGTGGTCTGAAAGAAGAAACAGAGACGTCTCAGCACCAAGACTCCACAGTACCTTAGTCAAATGCCAACTCCACGTTCTGAGCTCAGCCACCAAGCTGAGTTAGTCCATGCCTGTGCCAAGGCCCACAAGGGGCTCATGAACACTTCCAGTGTTGAAAGGGCAGAGTCAGCTTGGTGGAACGAGACAGTTGTCCAGAATCAACAATTCTTCCCAGGAGAGGAGGTGGGCAGGACTCAGTGCAACTTCACAAGAATCCAAACTTTGCTCCCTCTGGCCTGCATGTTGCCCTCACCCAGCTCCAGTTGGCCAGAGACCCCACACTCCTCAGTGCAGGGATGGAGGGTCCGTAACCAAAAGCAAGGCAGAAATAAGTGTCTTCTTGCCAAGAGAATGGAAAGAACGGTTTCTGATTTCTGTGCTCTTAAACCACAAAGGTAGAATCACAGAAACAAGGGTTAAGAGGAATCTGGGAGATCATCCATTCCAAATCCTCATTTCACAGATGAATAAACTGAGGCTCAAGGGGAGGAGGGCTTTACCCACCACCAACAGGGAAGAATACCAATTGGGGTGGGTCACCATGAATTCCCACCCTAATCCAATATGGCAAACTAACTGAGCCACCATTTGGCAAGTGTTTTTGAATTCTAGAAGCAGGTAAACACCTGTATGCTGAAAACCACAGGGTGCACATATCTAATTTACCAAGTCCACACCAACCATGTGTATTTAGCCCATGAGTCACGCTCCTTTCTTTAAGCCATTTCACGAAATCAGAGTTTGCAATGAGTCATTTCCTTGTCATCCAAGCCACTGTCAGAATGGTCTCCAGAGAAGGCAGCAAAGGCACCAACCTGGATCTTTCAACTGAAGGATAGACTAAATTATAAGCATGAGTGACAAGTCTCTTCCTCCCACCCCACCCCAGGGCCTATTTTCAGGTAAAGAAAATATATGCGGCTGGGTGCAGTGGCTCACGCATGTCATTCCAACACTTTGGGAGGCCAAAGCGGGTGGATCATTTGAATCTAAGAGTTCAAGACCACCTTGGGAAACATGGTGAAACCCTGTCTCTACAGAAAATACAAAAATTAGCCAGGTGTGGTAGCTTTCACCTGTAGTCCCAGCTACTCGGGAAGCTGAGGCGGGAAGATCGACTGAGCCCAGGAGATCGAGGCTGCAGTGAGCCATGATCATGCCACTGTACTCCAGCTTGGGTGACAGAGCAAGACTCTGTCAAAAAAAAGAAAGAGGTGGAAGGAAGGAAGGAAGGAAGGAAGGAAGGAAGGAAGGAAGGAAGGAAAAGAGAAAGGGAGGGAGGGAGGGAGGAAGGAAGGAAAGAAAGAAGGAAGGGAGAGAAAGGGAGGGAGGGAGGAGGGAATTTGCAAACACTTAAGCCAACAAATTTGTTTGTGCATGTGAAGATTTTATGTGGGGAGTTTCCTCCAGGACGCTGGCATTGCTGATGGAGGACACACCCATGTTGGTCCAGGGTTATGTCCTTGTCAGGGAGGGACACAGAAGCAAGCAGTCTTCTGGAAGGAGCTGCAGGCACCCTGAGTAAAATGATGAGGACTGAGCCACTGGGAGGGAAACCAAAGGAGCCACTGGGTGGCAGGCAGAAGGGGCTGGGACTCAGGCACATTCCTGGTGTCTTTCCCTTCAAATCAGAGATTACTTCCTGGGCAGCTAAAGTTTTGACTGGGGGTGATGGCAGCAGCGAGTCCAGGAGGTGCTGCAGGCCCAGGCTCTAGATGATTCGTGCTGAGGACAGCATGTCCAGAGTTCCCCAGGGCTCTTTGATCCTCATTCATCAAAGGCTGGTTCTGAAACATGTGGAGAAGAGCACAGGCCCAAAGCAAGCCCAGGTCCTTCTAAGGGAGAAGAACAAGGCCAGGGGGACAGGCTTACCAGGCATCAGGAATCGCTACAGAGCTACAGTAATTAAGACAGGGTGGTATTGGCACAGGGGTAGATAAATAGGCCAATGAAACAGAATCCAGTCCAGACCCTGGTCCGTGCACATATGGAACCGTGATATATGAAGGAGATGGTGTACAAATCAGCAGGAAAGGATGGACTCTTTAATAAACAGAGCAGGGGTAACTGGTTATCCATTCAGAAACAGGGGAAAAAAGAAATTGGATCTTCACACCAGACACAAAAATCAATTCCAGGTGGATTAGAGACCTAAATGTGGAAGGCAAAGGCATCCAACGTGGCGAGCTCTAGGTCCAGCCAAAAATCCTTGGGAACAAGTCTGCCCTTCATGGAAGGAAGAGTGCCTTTTCTGGCCTGGGATGCTCACGCAGAGTTCCTGCTCACTGTGGGGTTAGTGGTGGGACCCAGTCATCCTGCTGCCCTGTCTCAGTGCCTCCTCCTCCAAGAAGTCTTTCATAACCACCATTCCCCAGGAAGTGTGAGTCCCACCCTCATTCTGCTGGCCCCGCCAAGTGGTGCCAGAACAATAACAACCACAGTCTTCACAATTGCATCAAAATCTCACACTCACTGAGCATTCACTCTGTACCAGGAGCTTTAGCTGTACTATCCCATTTAATCCTCACAGTCACCCCTTGAAGCAGGCTCTATGACATCCCCATTTTACAGATGAAGAAACTGAGGCTTTTATGATAGCGCAGGAATGACTTGCCTAACTAAGTTCATACAGCTTCTAGGTGCCCAAGCCAGGATTCAAACCTGGGTCCTTCTGACTCCAAAACCTTGACAATGACCCTAATGATCTTTATACTCTCAGTACCTGATCCATTAAAACACAGTGAAATCAACTTGCTGGTCCCAACATTTTTATAAATGAAACTGAAAAAAAAATATCCAAGGGTCTCCCACATAGAAAGGATAAGTCCTGTTTTGTGAATCTTTGTTTCCCATGTCAGTGGGTATGTGTGTACGAGGTAGAGATTAAGATGTACTTCTTGATCTAGGTTACAGCCAGCAAAGTTTGGAAAATACTGCTTCATTCCATGCAGCAAGAGCTATTGGAAAAAGGTTGCTGTCTAGACTTCCTCTTCTGTAGAACAAGACTTGGTCGTGGCATTAGCCTCCTAATTTTCTGAGAATGAATCGGGCATGAATTTAGAATTCCACTCACTGGAAGCAACTCCTTCAGTTCATTGCTGTGTGCAAAGACGGCAGGTCAAAATGCCTCTGACAAGGGTCTTTTCCTAGATGGCATCTTCTAGAGTTTCTGGGCCCCCAGGGGTAGGTCCCAGTTCCGCCCTCCTCTCTGTGTTCCCGAATGCCCTAGTGAATGGTGGGCGTGCATTCGTTCAACCTTTACTGAGCCCTGTTGTGTGCAACATGATGTGTGAAGACCAGACACACTCTTTGACCCTCACCCACAAACACCAAGAGAAGACACATTGGCCCAGAAATTCCATCCAAGAGGGACAAGAGCACAGAGTCATTAATGTATATGGGGCGTGAAGTGGTCAGGAAGGGTTTCTTGGTGCAGGCTGTATTTAACCTGGGAGTGAACAATCCCTAACTCCCAAGACTGAGAACAGCCGAAGTCAGGCTCAGAGGTAATAGGACAAGAGTGACCCAGAAACAGGGCACATGCAATAGTTAGAGGGGGTGCAAGCGTAAAGGGGAAAGATGGAATGGTAGACTAGCTGGAACTCGATTGTGAAGGGCTTGCACAATGAACACTGGGTGAATGAAGGAAGGAGTGCTCTTCCTAGGGCCAGGCAGCATCCCAGCCAAGAGTCAGCATCCCTGCACCCCTCCCCAGCCCACCCTGGGGCCTGGCACATTCCTAGACCTCAGCCTCTTCTCTCTGACATGGGCTGGGCTGCTGGGTCTGCAAGGGAATGCCTTTACTTCCCCCAAGAAAGCAGAGCCAACCTGGGTTTAAAAGAACCACAAAAAGGGTGGTCAACAGGGATATATCCTGCCCCTTACATATTTAATTTCCAGATGGAAGAGGCTTATGTTGCTATTTGATTTTTGTTTTAGTCAACAAATTCAGTATCAAACAAAGCTCGTTCAGCCACTTCAAAAGTTAGGTTTGGATCATCTTTTTAAGACAAGAAATCTTCAACTTATGTTATACATGCAGCGGGAGGTCCGAAAATCCAGGCATCCAACCACCACTGGCTCCCAGAAAGCAAAGCAAACCTCCCTATAAGCCAGGCCCTGGGGGACGGCGGGACACTTGGAAACGAGTCCTTAGCTGCACTTCACCATCTGTGCCTTTCCTTTTTCTTTTTCTTTTTTTTTTTTTTGAGACAAAGTCTTGCTCTGTCACCCAGGCTGGTGTGCAGTGGCACGATCTTGGCTCACTGCAACCTCCGCCCCCCGGGTTCAAGCGATTCTCCTGCCTCAGCCTCCCAAGTGGCTGGGATTACAGACACATGCCACCACACCCAGTTAATTTTTTGTATTTTTAGTAGAGACAGGGTTTCGCCATGTTGGCCAGGCTGGTCTTGAACTTCTGGCTTCAAGTGATCCACCTGCCTCGGCCTCCCAAAGTGCTGGGATTACAGGCATGAGCCACTGCACCCAGATATCTGGGCCTTTCACCATAACCACCTTGCAGGGCTTGCCCAGAGCCCAGCCTCTCTTCTTTGGTGGGATTCCCTCAGTTCTTACTCTGCTCCTGCATGAGCCAGGGGAAGCTGTCATTTAGTTTTGGTGTTTAATTGTTCCCTAAGTCCTCATCACCGTTTGTCCTTTTGAGGTGTCCGTGATTTTTAAAGGCAACTGCATTCTCCCCAATCTCTTGGGTTCCCTGGAACATTGCTACACCACAGCTCCTCAGCCATTCCAGACACTGTCCTACCTCCGCCTGGAGGGTCCCTCTCACTCCGTGACTTAGAGAACTCTTACATTATCCACAAGACCCAGTTCACATGTCACCTCCTTGGTGGAGCCATTCCTGAACTCCACACTCCTACAAAGAAACAATCTCTCCCTTGTCTATGCTTCCATACTTGGTGGCTTTTTGCACAGACCTCCATTATCACCATGTAGAGTGGCTGTTTGTCTATCTCCCTCCAGGTTGCCTTGACAGTGTGGAACATGGAACATCCTTAGTGCCCCCTAAGTGCTTGTTGAATGAATGAATGAATAATGGTTCAGTAGCATGTTATGAGCTACAACACTCAAAAATTAACTGGGAAGTGTTTGAACAAGAGCACTAAGTGATACGCTAACATCCCCTTCCCTCCTTCCACCTCTACCCCACATCGAGTCAGGTCACCAGAAAGCCACATCCCTATCCAACATATTAAAGCCCCTGGGTGGTGCTTTCACCAGTCTCTGATGGAATATCAGGCATTCAACACTTTTACGAGGCAAAAAAAGAAAACAGCCATAAAAAGAAGATTGTTTAAAACCTCTGGGGACACTGCCCACTAGAATATTCAAATTCCTTATCAATCCCTCCTACAATTCAACACCAGTAAAGTGTTTCCCCTGGTGAGTCATTAATCTGCCTCTGACTAAACAACAAGAACACTGGAAACCACTGCATGTCTCTTTTGGCTTTGACTGCCAGGAAACTCGGTCAAATTCAGTGTTCAACCACCATAAGCACATCATTGCTGGCTCCTGCCACAATGATCTTCCCCTTTTCTCTATGTAATTTCTGAACTTTTTTTCCAAACTTAACTTAGATACACATACTTGCTTATTTTGCAGGCCACCTCAAGTTCTTTGTGAAAGTGAAGGCTGGGAAAGGTGAACTGACAGAAAAAGAAAGATGGAAGGAAGGAAGGAAGAAGGAAGGAAGGAGGAAGGAAGGAAGGAAGGAAGGAAGGAAGGAAGGAAGGAAGGAAGGAAGGAAGGATGGATGAGAGAGAGAGAGAGAGAAAGAAAGAGAAGAGGAAAGGAATTCCTGGTGCCTCTTTTCCTGGTAACAACGGCATTCTACTTCCATTTCTCAGTTTTTTCGAAGCCAAAGGCTGAGTGGCGGGGTGCAGAGGTACACACGCAGTCACAGATGTGTAAGTGTGTTGGTGCACCTACATACTTGGGTACATTGCCCCCGCCAACCCCAGCCCCTAAGAATCACAGGCAACAGCTGTGTTCTACATTTCCTACTTTTTCTGAGCCCTTGGGGTTCTTTCTTAGGATGTCATTTTAGGCTTCTTCTCCCTCTTCATCAGGGCACCCTGGTGCTGTCCTTGACCATGACCCAGGAACAGAAATGAACTGAAGTCAGCAATTCACAGATTTCCCACTGCAATGCAACCATTGGGATAAAACTTCCTCTGCCTGCTGCCACAGAATCTTTCTTTTTGAGACAGAGTCTCGCTCTGTTGCCCAGGCTGGAGTGAAATGGTGCAATCTCGGCTCACTGCAACCTCCACCTCCCTGTTTCAGTGATTCTCCCGTCTCAACCTCCTGAGTAGCTGGGATCACAGGCACCCACCACCATGCCCAGCTCATTTTTGTATTTTGAGTAGAGATGGGGTTTCACCATGTTAGTCAGGTTGGTCTTGAACTTCTGACCTCAGATGATCCACCCACCTCAGCCTCCCAGAGTGCTGGGATTTACAGGCATGAGACACCACACCCAGCTGCCACAGACTCTTATAAGACCTCAAGGTCAAGACCACCAGCTCAAGGTGTGTGCACCATCCTCACAGACACCATGTTCTAGATGATGGAACAGCTTGTCCTCTGAAATATCAGAACTATAATAGAAGGACAGTCAGGGTCATCTTTCCCAACATAGAAAAACTGAGGTACAGGGATAGGGATGGATGTCCTTTTTTTTTTTTTTTTTTTTTTTTTGAGACAAGGTCTTGCTCTCTCACCCAGGCTGGAGTGCAGTGTCACAATCATGGCTCACTGCTGCCTCAACCTCCCAGGCCCAAGGGATCCTCCCACCTCAGCCTCCCAAGTAGCTGGGACTACAGGCACACGCCACCACACCCAGCACCTAATTATTTAATTTTTTGTAGAGATGGGGTTTCACCATGTTGCTCAAGCTGGTCTTGAACTGCTGAGCTCAATTGATCCACCCACCCCAACCTCCCAAAGTGCTGGGATTACAGGCGTGAGCCACTGCGCCTGGCCCTTAGTTCATTTTTATCTGCATCATTGATAGCCTTTGACCCAGTGGGGGAAAAAAGACTGAACTAGGAGTGATAACACAGGGTTTTTGTCCCAGCTCTGCCCCTTTCTCACTTGTGTGGCTGTAGGTGAGCTGGGCCAGTTCTATGAATCTCATTTTCACCATGAGTAAAATGAAATTTTAATTCTAGTCCCTAGCTGCCTGCCTACCTCGACGATCATGAGAATCTGAGGGGTAAGGAGAGGGACACCACTTTGGAAACTAAGCAATATGAGAGGTTCAGGAATTCTAGCAAGGGACTCAAGGAGGCACGTGCCCCAGGAGAGTGTGCACTGGGCATCATTTGGGTCCCTAGGAAATTACCTGGAAAAGGACTGCCTGGGGCTGCACCAAGTATTGTCTCATCAGCACGGGGCACCACTGCCATAGCATGGAGGAGAAAAGAAACACAGACACGTGAGAAGGAGGGCAGCACAAAAGAGGGCAGCGCATGGGGCAAGGCTGCAGGGCTGGTCACCTCAGATGGCCACCTGGGGCCAGGAGGCCTCCCTGTCACCTGCTGGGCTCCTGTAGGCTCACCGCCAGGCCACAGGTATCCCTTGGGAGCTGGGCCAGAGCCAGGCCAACCATTCCCATTCTGAAGGACCAGACACCTGCCCACCTCTACATCTACCCAGAAGGAGGACAGAAGCTGGAGTGGGTGAGAGGTGTCTCCAGAGCCTGGCTCCAGCGACTGAGGCTGAGCAGGCAAAGGGGTCTGCAAGCCCCTCCTTTCACTGGCCTCTGCTTCCCCACCTGTCTGAGGACCTTCACTGGAGGATCTCTAAGTCTCCTTCCACTGCTGATGCTCTTTGCCTCTATCACTGGCCACATGACAAAGTCTAGATTCCCTCTTCAACAAATGAATGGCAAGTCAAGAACAAGAGATGGTGAACCTGTAGGTTAAAGGAGGCTTAGAGACAAATCGATAGTCACAATGTGGACCCTGATTCAAACAAACTGTAAAATAAATAATCATTAAATAACAAAAAACAAAAAACATGGCCAGGCGCGGTGGCTCACGCCTGTAATTACAGCACTTTGGGAGGCTGAGGTGGGCGGATCACCTGAGATCAGGAGTTCAAGACCAGCCTGGCCAACACGGTGAAACCCCATCTCTACTATAAATAAAAAAATCAGCCAGCCGTGGTGGCATGTGACTGCAGTCCCAGCTACTCAGGAGGCTGAGGCAGGAGAATTGCTTGAACCCAGGAGGCGGAGGCTGCACACTGAGCCGAGATCGAGCCACTGCATTCCAGCCTGGGCAACAGAGTGAGACTCTGTCTCAAAAAAAAAAAAAAAAAAATCATAACATATAATGAGACAATTGGCAATGTGAGCACCAACTGAGTATTTGATGACATGAATGGATGTGCTAACTTTGTGGATGTGATAGTGGTGTGGTTATGCTTTTTAAAAGGTCTTGTCTGGCTAGGCACTGTGATTCACACCAGTAATTCCAGCATTTTGGGAGGCTGAGGCAGGAGGATTACTTGAGGCCAGGAGTTTGAGACAAGCCTGGGCAACATAACAAGACCCCATCTCCACAAAAAAATTAAAAATTAGCTAAGCATAGTGGCATGCCTGTAGTCCCAGCTATTTTGGAGAATGAGGCAGGAGGATCACTTGAGCCCAGGAGGTTGAGGCCACAGTGAGCCTTGATCACACCACTGCACTCCAGTCTGGGCGACCTTGTCTCAAAAAAATAATAAAAGATTGTGTCTTTTAAAGATTCATTCTAGAATATTTACAGGTGAAGTGACATAATGTCTGAAGTTTGTCGAAAAATAAAGTGCAGTTAATAAAATGTGGTATATCTACACAATGGAATACTATTCAACAGTGAAAAGGGGTGGAGTGCTGATACATGTTACAACATGGATGAATCTCAAAAGCATTATGCTAGGTGAAAAAGTCCAGACATATAGGATAGCCCATAGAGATGCTAGAAGTGGCAAATCTACAAGCACAGAGCACAGATCCATGATTGGCTGGAGATGGGGGTGGGATCAGAGATTAACTATAAACCAGCATGAGGGATCTTTCTGGAGTGATGAAACGAGTCCAAAACCAAACTGTGGTGATAGTTGCATAACTCCTTAAATCTACTAAAAACTATTGATTCATGCACTTACAATGAGTGAATTTTATGATATAAAAATTATATTTCAATAAAGCCATTAAAAGATAAGTGGAGTGTGTCGGGGGAGGGATATCAGTGCAACAATTGTCATGAGTTGAATCTGGGGGAGGGGTGCTTGGAGGCTGATTAAATTACTCCAAGTCTACTTTGAAAGTCTCCGTAATTATGGCTGGGCACGGTAGCTCACACCTGTAATTCCAGCACTTTGGGAGGCTGAGGCAGGTGGAGTACCTGAGGTCAGGAGTTCAAGACCAGCCTGGCCAATATGATGAAACCCCATCTCTACTAAAAATACAAAAATAGTCAGGCTGTGGTGGTGGGCACCTACTCAGGAGGCTGAAGTGGGAGAATTGCTTGAACCCCAGAGGCGAACTTTGCAGTGAGCCAAGATCGCACCACTGCATTCCAGCCTGGGTGACAGAGGGAGACCCTGTCTCAAAAAAAAAAAAAAAGGAAAAAAAAGAAAGAAAGTCTCCATAGTTAAAATAAATAAAGTTAAACCACACATATTTGACTCATGGCACCGCCTGTCACCGCTCATCAGCCATCCAACAAATACCTGTGAAATAACGAGAGAACGCAAGAAGCCAAGGACAGCCAGGAGCTTACTCTCTCGCCTCCTCTTCCTGGTGCCCTGCCCTGCTCCTTGAAAGCCATCATCCCTGCATCTTCAGGGATGCCAAAGTTCCAAACACAAGAAGTCTAAGTCCTCTTGCCTGCCTAGCACTTTCCAGTTTGCAAAGTCCTTGCAGGTCCGTGGTGCCCCGGGAGTCCTGGGATGTGGACAGATGCAGAACTAGAGCTCAGAGAGGGGAGCCCTGCTGCCCACCCCGTGTGCAGCACTGGTCCCCTACCTGGAAGCAGAGTTAGAGTTGGAGGGGACTTTACTGCCACCCCTGAAGGTACAGCTCAGACACTCCTCCATGAAGGGCCCTGGCCACACACCCACTATCCTCCTCCAGCTGGGGAAAGAGCACTGAATCTGCAAGGAGGAATGCCCTGCGTTCTTTAAACCTGGACACACAAAATTCCACCTGGCAAAGTGTATGTTAAGGAGTAGTTCTGCCTTGATTACAATGGATCAGATGGGGTGGCAAGGGACCTGGAGACCTGGCTCTGCCCTGGACTCCCATGCAACCAGGGCCAGACCCTCCCCTTGCCAGGCCTCAGTGACTCCATCTGTCATGAGGGAGATGGACCAAATCCATTGGGGCCCTTCTGACTCACTAATGTCTGTGCCCACCAAGATGGGGTCCTCACTGTGTGGAATGGGGTTCTCCTTGATATGGCCCCAGGAAGGGCTTAGGTTCCCTCTGTGGGCTGGTGAAGATGTTGCCCGTTTGACCTCAGGTCCCCGAATCCAGAGGCCTGACAGCAACCAGGGGAGGCAGCGTGGCTGAGGAATTCCACCGGGTCTGGGGCCAGGAGGACAGACTTCAAGCCTGACACGGCCAAGTCTGTGCTGTGTGAAACTAGGCCAGGCACCTCTCACTCTTGGTACCTTTTCTCATTTGTAAGGGGGATATGTGACCTACCTCACAAGGTTGTGAGAAAGCCCAGAAGAGAGATCAGAATAAAGCCCTGGAGGGCAGGCCTTTTGCGTTTCAGTTTTTGAGTCCCCAGTGCTAGACTCATAAATAAATACTTTGAAAATGTCTACTGAAAAAACAGCAGGAGGAATCCTTGCAGTGGTAGAAATAGCCTGTATCTTGGACTCAATGTCTATCAGTGTCAATTTATTGTACTATAGTTTTACAAGATGTTTTTGTGGAGGGAAACTCGGTAAAGGGTGTATAGGAGTCCTCGGTATTATTTCTTACAACTGCATATGAATCTACAGTTATCTCAAAATAAAAAGTTTAATTGAATGATGCTTGCAGAAATACTCCATAATCTACAAAGTGCTACCATTAATATTAACTAGGGGGAAGTACTACAAAGGATGTTGAAGGGCCTTCCTCTTCCAGGAAGCCCTCATGGATTCCCCCTTCTCTGTGTTCCTAAAATGGCTGAGTGTGCCTCTCTCTGCCACAGCACTTATTATTCTGCATTATACATTTAACTGTTTAGGGACATCATCCCCCAGCTAGAGTGTGAGCTTCATAAGGATGAGACAGTGTCTCCCTCATCTTTGTGGCAGCAGCTCCTGGCCCAGTGCCCAGCTCTGAACAGATGTGACATAAATGCCTGTGGAATCAAATGAACTTGGACAGGTACCATGGCCTGGCTCTTCCAACGGTGCCAGAGGTGCTTCCCAGGGTCACTGAGAGGATAAGTGATGTCAAGGTGCTTTTATTCATCAGAGGTTGCCACGGACATGGGCCAAACACGCTCTTTATTCATTTGTTTCTCCAGAAATGTACTCATGGCCTGGGTCAAAATGGTTTGCAGCAGGCCAGGCATGGTGGCTCATGCCTGTAATCCCAGCCCTTTGGGAGGCCGAGGCGGGCAGATCATCTGAGATTGTGAGTTTGAAACCAGCTTGACCAACATGGAGAAACCTGTGTCTACTAAAAATACAAAATTAGCCGGGCATGGTGGTGCATGCCTGTAATCCCAGCTACTTGGGAGGCTGAGGCAGGAGAATTGCTTGAACCCGGGGGGCGGAGGTTGCAGTGAGCGGAGATTGTGCCATTGCACTCCAGCCTGGGCAACAAGAGCGAAACTCCATCTCCGAAGCAAACAAACAAAAAAAAAAATGATTTGCAGCAGAATTGAAGGGCTTCCAAGAAGAGATCTATACAGTTTCAGTGACTCATCTCCCCCTGTTCTGTTTACAGCCTGCCAGGCCCCCCTCAGGCACACCCCCAGACAGGTTCCCAAGTGGTGGTGGGTACCAGCAGGGGAAGCCCAGGGAGGCCACCAAAGTCAGACATTTTAACTTCTGTCCGAGAGCAACTTTTCAGCAATGACTAATCAGAAGGCCCTTTTCTTCCCCTGTCCTCTTACGGAATTTTAGTAAGCCCCAAATCTCAGGGTCTAATGGAGCTCAGGAGTGCTGTAGGCTGATCTTTACCTGGCACTTGAAATCCACCAAATGGGTATCTCCAGTGATGGGAACTCACTACTTTCCGAGGCAGCCACACAGCTCCGGTGTGAGAAAGTGCTAAATGCTGGTCTCCCTACATTGGTCCTGGGTGTGCTCTCTGGAGCTCCAGTTCCAACAGAGGTCCTACAGGTGCCAGTGCCCTCCCTGCCTGGATCCAGCACGGGGCCCCAGGGCCTCCACTCCTCCACCAGACATGCTGTCGGACTGGGGCGTATGATGCTTGCTTCTGCTTTCCTGGTAGCCTAGAACCTGACTGATTCATACTGTTCTCACGGTCAAGGCAGGGCTCACTCTAAGTTCATTAGAAATGGAAAGTGATTAGGTATTTTCTCCTTCCCTTAACCAGTGTGCTATTTGCAAGCTCACAGGTCTTCCCAAATACGTGGACAGAAAGGTTATCCTGACAAGGCTTAGAGCACAAAGCTCCACTTCTGGAGAATGAGAACTGGGACCCAGTGGCCCAGGACCCGGTAGTCAAAGCCTCCTAAACAGTAAGATCCCAGTAGGGTTGACTCCTGTGGGGAAGGGGGATGGGGACTCCCTGTCTGGGAAACCTCTGCACCTGCTACAGCTCTGCCTGGCTGGGTCACGAGCAGCTCCAGAGCCTAATGTGGACAAAGGGAGGGAAAGTTCCAGGGACAAAGCTCCATCTCCAGGTGGCCAAGTTCCACAGGCTTCTTCCAGGCAGTCCATGATGGGGCCCAGCTGCTCTTCCCACTACATGGCTAGTAATGGGCAGGGAGGCCATTACCTCCAAGGGAGTGCAGGACTCTTGGCCACAAAGGGGCCTGAATGAGGGGTCCAAAGGGAGGATCCCCATCCTCAAATACCTAGCATGGGAGGAGAGGGAGCACCCTAAGACTCTCATAGTTCACATTCTTTTGGCATGACTTCCCAGCTACAAGGAAGACAGAAAGGTTATGTTGGAGGCATGGAGAAATGAAAAGAGAAAACTTCACTCCACATGGCCAGATCAATAGGGTGGCAGGGTGGGGACAGGGAGGTGGGCCTGGATGCCCCTCCCCACCACCACCACCTCTGGCCATGTGGGAACCTGCAGGCACACACACACATGCACACACACACACACACATGCACACACACACACACACACACACTCCTCAGGCCAAAGACCACCTCTCTGCCCTTCCGCTCCCTGTCAGAAGGAACTTCCTAACACGTGATGCTCTGCAAAGGCATACCCAGCCAGCCTCAGGAGGGAGTGCCCTCTGGGTCACCAAGGATTCCTAGGGCCAAACAAAAACTGTGCAAGGCAACTACCAGAAAGAGAAGGCTGCAAAGGCAAGGCCTCTCATGGTGAATTCAGACTCCCTGGTTTGCCATTCAGAAGACTCTACCAGCTCCCCCTACACCCTCACATACCTTTACTAAGAGGCGGAATAACTTGCATTGACTGGGTGCTTACTGTGTACCAGGTACTGTTCTAGATGTTAAAATGTATTACTAATAATTCATTTAATCCTTGCAACAACCCTACAGGGTAAGTATTACTACCCTCCCTTTACAGATGATGAAAATGAGACACAAGGTGCCAAAATAACGTGTCCAGTTCACCCCCCAGCAGTGCGACTCCAGAGTCCAAGCTCTGAAACACCACTCTACACCCCCTCTGCCACTGTTACTAACCCCAACAAGTTGCAGATGAGAACACTGAGGTTGACAGAAGTTGAGTAAGTTGCAGAGCCGGGGGTTAAACCCAGCTTCTGTTTGACTCCAAAGCCTGTGTTCTTTACTCTGATTGTAAACTGCTCCACGATGTGCCGGAGCCCTGACGGGGACACCACCTGCTAGGCCAGGCTCCTCTTCCTGTGTTTGGTGACCTCTTTAGATAACCCACCTGACTCTGCACCTTTGACATGGCCATGCTTTCCCCGCCGGGCGCCCTCTCACTTTCTCTCCTCCAGTTCCTGTCTATCCACCCCTTCAAATCCTGGCTGAAGAATGACCTCCTATAGAAAAGGTTTCCAGATAGGTTTAGCCGCAGATGTTGTTAACTTTATCCTTTATTCTCCTCATTTAGACAGAAAGCTCCTACACCGTCAACTCAGAGGACAGCAGGGCTCCCATTTAATGCCAACATTAGCAATTCATCTTAACATTAGTGCAAAACAATAGAGAAATAAACAGTAACATGTGGCACTGTTAGCACCATTAAGGAAAAACCAGGCATGTGACTGTTTGCTTAGTTCAAGTCCTCTCTGTTCTTTACTGAAGGTGATATTCTGGCTTCTAGAAAGATCAGAAACTAAAGGAAGGAGACACTAGGCTTAGGATTTAGCTATGATGTGTAAGCCCAAATTTTAGCTAATGTCAATAATCTAGACAAAACTAGCACAGCAACGGTGGTGTTTCTGCTTGTATGCCTTTTTATCAGGGTTAACTTTACTTAAGAGCTTCTGCTTTTAATTACGGAAATATATTTGCATTTTGTGGTTATGTGTTAATTCCATGAATCTTGCATTTCATACCTAGAAACAAAGCATAATAATTATTTTTCGTGCTAATACCTATAATTTACTTAGACAAGCAAGCCATTTGCCTTGAGGCTAGACATGTAAACAAACACACGTCTAAAGGCTTGGTCTGAGTTGGATTTTTAATAATTTCTTCTCCCTTACACACACACATATATTAATTTAGACTCCTGATTTTATTTCCTTCACCTCTTTCCCACAAATCAAAGCTCAAATAACATAAAACTGCTTGCTAGAAATAGGCTTCCCACAAACAAACAAAAGCTTTCAAGCCAAAAGCAACTGAGATGTTCACATCTCCCCATCCAACCGTCTCCACCTCCTCTGCCTGGTCCAACAAAACAGCCTCTCTCTGCCCAATTGCCCTGGAAAACCCTGGAATATTTCATTTTTATTTCCAGGAAAGGAAGAGGTTTTATCCCCAAATAAAAGTTCAGTAATAACAGTAGGCTGGGAAAACCCAGGCAGGATCCTTCCTGCCACCCTCTGTCAAGCTCACAAAGAGAAAAATCGTACCATCCGACATGGTTGGGAGAGTTTAATCCAAAGCAGTGCTAATTAATATCCCCGGCTTTCCAGAAGTCAGTGCCACATACAGCTGCGAGGGCAACAAGGCTGTTCTCCCTTCAATTTTATGGGAAGAACATTTTCATTACAAAGCCTCCTCCCAGACCCTCCTCTCTCAGCCAGATTAGCCTCGAGAAGGAAGCGGATGATCCATATATCAGAACTCCTTCTCTCCCCATTAATTTTATTATTTATATCCCATTTTAAAAGTTTATTGGTGCAACTCCCTATGCACCTGGCCAGGGCCTTTCTGACAAGCAGCGGCCCCTTCCTGTGTCCCCTTCTCAGCGGGAGTATGTACATTCTGTCACCAGAAAGGGCCAACTTTTTAAATTTGCCCTAGGGCAAAGCTCCAATGGTAGTTGCCCCACCACCCTTTCTTTCTTAAAATAAATGTGGAAGGTTCTAAACTGGCCCTTTCATGAAATATGTGTGGGTTTTACTGCTCAGTATGGGCTGTGGGTGATCCTCAGAGACCCTTAAAGCCCTGGGGGATGCCCTACGTGTCCCCCACCCCCAGTCAAGCATCCTTAGCCGTTTGGGCAGGGCTGACCCATTTTTAACCCAAACCACCAGACCCTGGGTAGGCCCTGCTGAGACCACGTGTCTTGCCATTTTGTTCTGAAACCCCACGTGCTCAAGGCTGTCTCTTTCCAGCCTCCTAAAGGGACCCCAAATCCAATCTAAATGTCTTGAATTTACCTGTTTGTCTTTTATACATATAAATAGCTGCATTTCCATTCCCTCTTTGTTTCTCATTTTCATTTGGTTCTAATATCTGCATGTAAATGTCGGAAAATAGCATCTGTAATTGGAGATTATGAAGTATGGCCAGCTCCTGACAGCCTGCTAAGGAAGATGGATTATCCTCATTTTTCTGTAAATTTTGTCAATTTTGGAATTCATAAGCTATCAACACTGATCAAAATGGGACTTCACAGCTGTGTCAAAAAAAAAGAGGGAGAGAGAGAGGGAGAGAGAGAAAAAGCAAGAGAAAGAGAGAGAGAGTGAGAGAGCGCTCGCGTGCGGGTGCACGCTGGCGTCGTGTGGGCGCAGCAGATTGGATGCCCAGTGTCCTCGTGGCCACTCTCCTCCTGTCACCCTCCCCTCGACGCGGGGCCTCACTGGAACTCGGGCTGGGGCTGCCTAGTCCCCTGGCTAAATCAAATAGCTAAATCACAGGGCTGGAAGGCTGCAAATCCTGCAAGGCACCCACTCCAGCCGGGGCTTAATTTATTGCCCGGCGCTGCCTTCCTTATTTATCCTGAGGAGTCTGAGGCTCCCCTGCTCAGCCCCGGAGATGTTCTACTCCTTCCAGACCATCACAGCCCACTTGAGGCAATTGCGTTGGTCTCTCTCTCTCAATTTTCCCATTACTGGGAGTAAGTACTGTTGGGACTCTGTAATGGCCCGACTGCAGCCCATATCAATAACAGATGAGGTTTAATCGTCCAACACAAAAATTATTTAGGCGCAGTAAGGACATTCAATGTCATTTACATAATGGCATTTCTATCGCACGCACCTAACCCATCTTGCATAAACAAGGCCTTGGGACCATAAATAATAATAAATCATGACGTCTGCACGCCTCTTGTGGTAATAGGAGCCACTCTTTGTGGAAATTATTTCAGCAGGAAATGGGCACTGTAATTTTAAAGACGTGTGGCGCAGTGAGGCGCGGTAAATCACATGCTTGCGCACACGACCCCCAGGAGCAGCCCTGGGACCCGCCCTGAGCCCACGGCAACATCCCCAGGGTGCCTGGAGGAGGAGGTCAGGTCTCCAGGGGAAAACAGGCCCTCTAGAAGTGGACACCAGGATGTGCTGCTGTCCCAGGAACAGCAAGCAGGAGAAGGCAGGGCTCTCAGTGCACAGCACCAGGGAGAATCGAATTTGAGTCTGGAGAGGCACCCAGGCATCAGGGTCAGAAATCATCTCCGTCCAGGAGTCTAGAAGCTCCACAAGGGCAGTGATTTTCATCTGCTTTGTTCTCTGCTGAATCTCCAGGTACCTAGAGCAGTGCCAGGCACCCGGCAGGTACTCGGAAAATATCCTAAAGAAACGCAATGAGAGGAGAAGATTACGGGTCCAGGTAGAGAGTGGATAATTAGAGCCCTGAAAACAGGTTAAGTGGGAGAGACAGAGGCCCAGGCACAAGGGGTAATGAAGGCAGGAACAGGCCCAGAAGCACTAGAGCTGCTGCTGGTGAGCAACAGAGTGAAAATGCCCAGTAAACGCTAAACCATATTGGAAGGCAGCTGTAGGGTAAGAGAAAGCACGGATTAGCGTGCAAGGGCGTGGCCTGCACAGCCGCTAAGCCAGCAGGCTCAGGAAGCAGACAGAGCTGGGTTAGAACCCCAGCACCACCCATCACAGACCCTGGCTTTGCCCCTGTGTGCCTCAGCTACCTATCTGTGGAACACAACTCATAATAGTTTTTCCCTTACAGAGTTGTTCTGAGTATTAAATGAGATGATGTGTGCCAAGTGACCAGCACTTGACAGAGCTTTGCTATCTATTCTTTTTACTACCGCTATTATTCCTCAGGAAGCAGCAGAAGTGAGTCCAAATACAAGCTCTGCCTCTTACCAGCTGTGTGATTTGAGAGCGTCCGTCTTGAGGGGTATCCTATGCACCCATGCATCACCCAGTATGCCGGGCGTGAATCTCCTGTCCTGGCTCCAGCTCATGCCCTGGAGGTCAAGCACAACCATTTGAAATGAGGGATAGGAAAGAACGGAAAACAGATTGGAGCCACCACCTGTGAGATGCTAGGAGCCAGCCAGGTAGGCACTGGGGAGGATCTGGAGACCTCAGACTCCCCCTCTTTGCCTGGGCTCCCCCCTTGGCCTGTACCCACCTCAAGGCAATGCCCCTGGGGAGGCAAACTTGGTGGACCCACAAGTCAAGGTGATTCTGGTCACGTCACAGGGAATGGGAAGCAAAGAATATGAAGCGGTGGAGGTGGGGGCGGGGGTGGGACTGAGATGGAGAAATGGTTACACCTGGCCTCCAGGACATGAGACTCACACCAGGCTCACTGGATGATGCAGGGGTGCATAGGGCATCTCCCAAGACAGACCCTTTCCAATCACATAGCTAGTAAGAAAAAGAGCTTGTACTTGAACTCACTTCTGCTTCCTGAAGAATAATAGTGGTAGTAAAAATAATAATAGCAGCACTCGATCAAGTGCTAGTCACTTTGCACGTGTTATCTCATTATCTCATTTAATACCCTGGCAGTGTGCCCAGGCAGCTGATGGCTGAAACATGAACTCGTGTGCCCACCTGCGTGTCCAGGAGCCTGACCCTCTCCTTGGCTCAGGGAAAGGACCCAGGCCTCCTAGGTCAGGCCTATAACTCTAGGCAGCGTCTGAGCTGAAGGGATTTGGGGTATCCCCATTCCCATCCCCTCAATTTTCAGATGGAAGCTGAAGGGGAAAGACTTGATCAAGGGGACACTGTTGTAAGACAGGAGGCCTCAAATCAGAGCCCAGGTCTCAGGAAAAGCAACACTTGGAGTTAGGAAGAGCAAAGAAAATGCATTTCCCTGGCTTACACTTGCTTCACAGGCAAAATGGGAATCATAGCGTCTGCTTGCCTTCATATCACAGAAGCGTTCACAGTGATCAAACAAGGCCACAGATGTGAAAGCAGTCAGGTAATTTCACAGCACCTTTTACACACAGAGTCCCCCTCCATGTGCTAGGTGGGCTTGAGGAGGACCCAGGGGTGGGACGTGTGCAAGTCCCTGCTCTGTTGTAAGAGTCGTGCTCAGCTGCTGACACAGCTTTCATACTGGGCTTTGTTCTGCCTCTACCAGAGGGGTGTGGTTCTCATTCTTCTTCCTTTTTGCAGATGCAGAAACTGAGGCACAGAGAGATGAAGTGACTTTCCCATGATCACGCCATTAATAAAATTTTAACCTAGGTTATGTAGCTACAAGTGCTGATGTTGGAAGCAGAGCTTTTAGCAGAGGAGTTGCTAGAGGTTGTGGGGCCTGGCTTTTGCCTGCAAGAGAGTGAGCCCAGGAGGAGCAGTGCCATGAAAGGGCAGGGCCTGGTGGCCGGGCAACGGCCTTCAGCACTGCTGACGCTACCCTACAAGGCTGCAAGTGCCTCAGCCTTTAACCATGGAGCGTAACACCCGCTGACCCTTGTCTTCCCGCTCTCCTTCTCTGCACCCAGCTCTCAGTTTCCCTACCCAGGGCCTGCTATGTCCTTGTGCTTACCCTCCTCCAGTGCAGGCCCACCCTAGCCCTGCCAAATCCAGCTATTCTCCATCTCAGTCCCACCGTCCCCCATCTCCATTGCTTCACGTTCTTTTCTTCCCATTCCCTGGGATGTGGCCAGAATCACCTTGACTTACGGGTCCATCAGGTTTGCCTCCCCAGGCACATTGCCTTGAGGTGGGTGCAGGCCAAGGGGGAGCCCAGGCAAAGATGGGGAGTCTGGCATCCCCAAGTCTCCTCAGTGCCTACCTGTCTGGCTCCTAGCATCCCATAGGTGGTGGCTCCAATCTGTTTCCCCATTCTTTCCTATTCCTCATTTCAAATGGCTATGCTTGGCCTCTAGGACACGAGACTGGAGTTTTACACACCCCACGTTACTTTCGAAAATCAGATCTTCACAGTACAATAAAGCTGATCTTACTTGCTAACTTCAGCTCTCCTAAAGATATTGCTGAGTATTTGTGGATTAGTTCAACATACACACACACACACACACACACACACACACACACACACAGCTACATATTTGCAAGCTACTTAATACCAGAAAAGAAGGCCTAAGGATCACTGTGTAAGAATTCTGGGTAAATTAATGTTGCAAGAGAATTTTTGTAATAAAATCAGAAAAGACACATGAAAGACTTTGAGAAGAATAGGCGTAGGTTCCAAAGAACCTACACCTATAAGCCATTGTTATATTAATTAACTGTATTAATCACTCATTTTTTCATACCTCACTACTTTCCAGAAAAGATATAAGCAGCTCACAAGGATGTAAAAAATATATGGAGGTATGGAGGGAAGAAAGGACAGAAAAAGGGAAAACATAAAATGGACCCAATAAGTGACTAGAGCTGGGCTCAGTGGCTCACACCTGTAATCTCAGGGACTTGGGAGGCTGAGGCAGGAGGATCACTGGAGGCCAGGAGTTTGAGACCAGCCTGGACAACATAGCAAGACTCCATCCCTACAAAAATAAAAAATCAGCCAGGTACTTTGGTGCACACCTGTAGTCCCACCTGCTCAGAAGGCTGACGCAGGAAGATTGCTTGTGCCCCGGAGTTCAAGGTTACAGTGAACTATGATTGCACCACTGCACTCCAGCCTGGGTGACAAAAAGAGACGCTGTCTCAAAAAAATAAAAGCTGATTAAAAAATAATAATAATTGGACCCAACAACAAACACATGGGGCACGCTCATGTCAACATGTGCCACATGTCACAGGGACCTCATTGAAACCTCTAACAGCCCTATAAGGCAAGCACTCATTATCCCCATTTTTTAGATGAAGAAACTGTGACTTAGCAAGGGCAAATAACCTGCCCGAATCGTGCAGCTGGTAGGTGATGGAGCCAGGACGGCACCCAGACAGCCTGGCCCTAGTGCCCACTCTCAACCACCATGCTCTCCACATCCTCAAAGCCAGGAGATGAGGCTGGAGGCTTTTAATCTCACTCCAGGAAGGACTGCATGAGGCCCTCCCCACTGCCAGCTGGAGAAGGGAAGCTGGTTCACGACCTCACAGAGTCCATGAGATGCAGACCGCCCATTACTCAGAGGTTTTCTGACTAACTCTCAAACCAGGTGGAATTTCTCCCCAAAACCCCCCTAAAGAGCAAGCTGAGAAAGTGCCGAATGCGCTTCAGATCCAGGGGTGGTTTTCAAACGTGATTTCTTAGGGTGTCTCCATATGGGTTCAGTATAACTCTAAGGGGACCACACTGGTGGGGCAGTTACCCAATTGAATGGCTTTATCCGGTAATGATTTTAAAATAAATGAAAGGGACATAAATTAAATGTTCTCCAAGCATTTTTATTTCTAACCGGGGACCGGAGGGATGCTGCTCTGTGCCTATGGTTAAACACAGACCGAGCTGGAAGTGGTACTGACACCCTCATGTGAAAGCTCAGTGACCTGACAGGAACCCAGGCCTGAAGCCACGCAGAGTGAGCCTTGCAACTACCCACAGACAGGGACAGGAATCCCCTCAGAAGACTGCTGTAGCAACAATCACAGACCTCCAACGCACAGATCTATAGATGACGGAGACGCCAAAGTTCCTCTCTGTATAACACAGTCACAAAGGCTATGAACTGGAAGATATTTGGGACAGGTACAGCCACATTCCTGTCTTTATGGTAAAAAACAAAACTCCCTTTGGACAACTGTCTTTTTTTTTTTAGTTTTTTGTTTGTTTGTTTGAAACAGGGTCTCACACTCTCACCCAGGGAGGGCTGAAGTACAGTGGCACAATCATGACTCAGTGCAGCCTCCACTTACTGGACTCAATCAGTCCTCCTGCCTCAGCCTCCCTAGTAGCTGGGACTACAGGCATGAGCCACCATGCCCAGCTAATTTTTCAATTTTTTGTAGGGATGAGGTCTTACTATGTTACCCAGGCTGTCTCAAACTCCTGGGTTCAAGTGATCTTCCCACATTGGCCTCCCACAGTGCTGGGATGACAGGTGTAAGCCACTGTACCCATACCTTCCAAGATGACATCTATGCCAAGATAACCAAATCAAGTAACCTATCAAAGGGCATTGCTATTTATAGATCTGTTTAACACAAGAAACAGATCCTAAAAATAGTAACTATTATTTTAGAATGCTTGATCCACAGCCATTGTTTCTGGCAAATTGGATCAGCCGGTCCAATTGTTTGGGCCACTCTTTGAATGAGATAGAGAAGCTGCTCTTCAAATCCCAGCAGCACAACTTACCAGCTGCAGGCCTTGGAAAAGTTACTTAACTATTTTGTTCTTCAGTTTCCTTTTCTGTAAAATTAAAATAAAGTCTCCGCCTCACAGGGCTGTTGAGAGAATTTAATGAGTTAATACAGGCAAACTGCCCAGATCAGTGCCTGGCACATCATTTGTACTCTATTGTTACAAAACAGCATGGTCAGGGGCTAGAAAGTGTTCAGCTTTGAGTTCTCTACACCAAGATGCACACATATACCTCCCCCTAAAGGAACAGCACGCAGGAAACTCTGCAGTGCTCCATCAGGAAGCGACTCCCTGAGGAGTGCTCCGTCAGGATGCAGTGCTCCATCAGGAAGCGACTCCCTGAGGAGTGCTCTGTCAGGATGCAGTGCTCCATCAGGAAGCGACTCCCTGAGGAGTGCTCCGTCAGGATGCAGTGCTCCATCAGGAAGTGACTCCCTGAGGCTCGCAGAGGGGCCATGGCCCAGCTGCCCCTGAGCTTCAGGAACTCCGCAATGCCAAGCAGCGCTGCCTCGAGCATTTCCGTGTGTTTCTCCCGGTGCACAGATGGACAGCTCGAATTTGTAAATCAGGGAACTTTTCATGGGAACCACTGAGAGATCAAGAGAAACCCGAGCAGCTGACCTCAGTGTGTAGTGCTGGAAAATAAGATTCCCCACAACCAGCCAAAACCTGGGCCACATTCATCAGGTTGAAACCTCTGGAAATTTTGACCTCAAATCTGCCCATGAGGGGAATCTAATGACCAATGTCAGTTGTCCTGTAAGATTTTCCTGTAGCTAAGCTTCTCCAAAGCAATGAGAGGTTTGTCTCTCAAGGCCATGTGTGAACATGTCTGAGTTGTTTTGCCCCACAGCATAGATGCGCTTTCTGACTACCAGTAATGGAAGGGAAAACTACGTGCTAGAGATAGGTTACGGTCACCAGGACACTTTGCGGTTTAAGTCCATTTTGAGTTACTTGAAATCCACTGGTGAGCTGGCCTGGAAGCATCCCCAGGAGACAGTTGAGGCAACTTCTTTACCAACCACCAGCAGGCAGGGCCCAACCAACTTGGAAAGCCCCATGGCTGCTTCCCGCTCCTTTGCTCCTAACCCCCAAGCCACAGTGTAAAATGATGACTCAGCCACGTGCAGGGCCAAAACAGGAGGGAAGTGATTACTTTTTCCAAATCCCAAAAACCCATTCTAAACAGGATCAGAAGCCCAGAAAAAGGATAACAGTGAATAGTGCTGCCCCCAGGGCACATATATCACAGGATTTCTCCAGATTTATTCCATGTGCTATAATTTGACATCCAGATTCTATTCATAAATGAATTTATTCAGAGGAGCCCATATAAATAAATATGCCTGTTCCTAAAATGATGTCCCTTATGGAAGCAACGTTCCCCTTCCTGGCAGCTCCAGAGGCAGCACCATCAGGCCCATCACTGATCCTCATACTCCAACATCCAAAGTGACAAGCCCTGATGTTTAAAAGATGAAAAATTACACTGTGGCTCCAAACCTACCATAAATGTCCTGTCAGGCTAATGCAATGTAAAAATTTTAAACCTTGCTTTGGATCAAGTACCATTTCCTCAGTTTCCTGAAATTTTACGTATTCATTTGTTTATTTATTTTTTATTTTTTTAAAGTCAGGGTCTCACTCTGTCACCCAGGCTGGAGTCCAGTGGCATGATCATGGCTCACTACAGCCTTGAACTCCTGGGCTCAAGTGATCCTCCCACCTCAGCCTCCCGAGTAGCTATCACGCTTGGCTAACTTTTAGTTTTTTTGTAGAGATGGGGTCTTGCTCTGTTTCCCAGGCTGGTCTCAAATGGTCTCAAGTGAAAGTATTTAAGGATATGCACTGTCCAGATATTACATTACTGTATTACATATTATATGATGTTTCATTATATTATATTTGTACGCATATGTGTGTGTGAACATATATATATATATTTTTAACAGAATTTCCAAAACCATCACCCCCACCCCCAGCACACCTCACACTTTGGCCACCTGAAACTACTCTCCCTTTCCCAGACTGAACGCATATGCATATGTCTCCATGCTTTTGTTCTTTCTCTTCTTCCTCTTTCCACTTCCCTACCTGGCACCCTCTTCCTCATCCTCCTCCCCACACACTCTCTGTGCACCCCACCCCCGTTGCCCCTGGTGAAAGGCAGAGCCGTGTCTATATCACTGAGACATTCCCTGAGAATGCAAATAATAATAAATAACATCCTCTGAACGTCTCCCACGTGCCAGGCACTGTCCAAGACTTTGGAGACACACGGGAGCCTCACACCAGCTCTGTGCTAGCATATCGGCATGGCTACCCTCCTCTTGTGGATGGAGAAACTGATGCTGAGTGAGGGGGAGCAAACTATCCCAATCACACAGCCAGCAGGTACGCACGCCAGGTTCCAGGACCAGGGACTCCAGAGCTCTGGCTCTTACCGCCTTGCCATGTGGCCAGCACAGGTGCAGCCCGACCATAAGTGGGAGCGGCGAGTGTCCCTGAGAACAAGGTTACCGAGGCTGACAGTCCATCCCTTCCTCCGAGAGGGACGGGACACATTCTGTTAGGCAGTTTCCTTAGAAGTATCACAGTCTGGGTTTAAATACCTCCTCCCTCCTTTTGAGGCAGATCTGGGAGACCGGAGAACTCGTCCTCTGTTGCACCAAAAAGGAAATATTAAATTGTTTGTTTGTAGGGGAAGATCCTTACAGTACAACCCAGAATTAATAATTTAGTACAAAGATTTCTTAGCTCCTCAGGCAGAAGTTCTAAAAGTGATACAAATTGTTATTTTGATTGCTTTAATGGAATATTTCCCTGGAAGCCTGGGCTCATTTGCCTGTGTAATCTGTAGCCAAGCAAACAGTAAAAACAGAGAAAGTCTGGGGAAGAAAAAGTTCCCAGAAACTCCCCAGTGCAAATGCCCCATCACTGCAGGTCAGATAGGGCCTTCTGGTCTGTCTCTCATTCCCTCCCACCAAGACAATTCTTAGCCACTTTGTCTCCCTGCGCAAACTCCCTCCTGCCTCCTCTCCAACTCCTTTCCTGCCCAACCCAGCCCTACCCACCTGAGCTTTCTTGATCCCTTTCCCACCATGACCCTGACTCTCTGCCCTGTAGAACCTCTGATGTGGCAGAACACTCCTTAATAATAATAACAATGATAATAAAGGAACATTTGGAGTACCTACTATGGGCTGAACCCTCTGTCAAACTTTGTTTAATCAGTACAACCACCTACAACACAAGTATTGCTGTTTTTTTGTTTGTTTTGTTTTGTTTTGTTTTTGAGACAGAGTCTCGCTCTGTCGCCCAGGCTGGAGTGCAGTGGCACAATCTCGGCTCACTGCAACCTCTGCCTCCGGGTTCACGCCATTCTCCTGCCTCAGCCTCCCAAGCAGCTGGGACCACAGGGGCCCGCCACCACGCCTGGCTAATTTTTTGTATTTTTAGTAGAGACGGGGTTTCACCATGCTAGCCAGGATGGCCTCGATCTCCTGACCTCATGATCCACCTGCCTCAGCCTCCTAAAGTGCTGGGATTACAGGCGTGAGCCACCGTGCCCGGCCAACACAAGTATTGTTATTATCCCCATTTTACTTATGAGAAAACTGAGGATAAAGCAGTGGTAAAGCCAAGTAGATTGGAAATAATAACTTTGTACACAAAGGAAGAAAAGTTCGTATTTGTTTGAGATGTGATAATAACCAGTGTTCTCAAAGCTAGGAATAAAGGAAGAATCACATAGACTCCAGAGGTAAGCCTACATTCACTTTTATTACCACAATCTCCCAAGAGATTACGTGAGCTCAAAACTAACGTAACAGGTTGCAAAGTCACAAGCAGCTGCTTCCGAAGCTTGTGCTCTTAACCATGACACTATGCTACTTCCAGCAGTCCTCCAGACATGGGTCCCTGACGCACTCCCCAGTAGAAAGCACACCACCGTCCTCTCCTCAGGCCTTTCTGGGCCAGGCATGGGGTCTGCAAAATTCCATGCCATTGCTCACCACACCATCCTACCACAGCATCTCCTCAGAATTCCACATTATCTGCCCAAGCCAATCCCCTCATACTGTTAGTGAAATGCGGCCATTCCTCCTGGCAGATTTCCCGTTCCTCGGGACCTCCCACCACGATCTTCACCTACCCTCGACCTCCCTAAGCGACACCTCTTTGACTCCACTGACCTTAATCTCCATTCCCCAGCTCCAGCCTCATGGATGGACACAGATAGGACCGTTATTAACCTGTCATTTAGAACTCATCTAAGTCCCTAAGCTCCTTCTGAAAGCTTGTTTGTCATAATCTTCCTTGCATGCTCTCATCCTGATGAGCCGGCTCTTGCCAGGAACCCTTGAACTACTGTAACCAACAGGTAGATAAAGTTATCTGTCCTCTTGGTGAGCCTGAAATGAAAACATCACCAATTCTGTTGCCCTGACCCAAGAAGGGTCTGCACCTTCTTAAAAGCATTGACACTGAGCTGGACTATGTGATGATCTTCAATAAAATCATCCCATTTGGTTTCATAGCCAAGACATTGGGAAAGAATCAACAAATTCATCTTTTCTCCAAAATAGAAGAGAGGAAATGCAACCACATGCGTCACAGAATGCCAAAGCTCAGAGCTGGAAGGGACCCTGGTGGTTACCTCTTCCAAGCCCCAATCTGACACTTGAAACCCCTCCTCAGTCTTCCTCCCAAGTGGCCTCACTGCCCACACCAGACACTCTCAGCGACAGAAGATTCCCAGCCCAATCCACATTTAGGCAGCTCGCCTGCTTGGAAGGTTTCCTTCAACTAAGATGAGAGCTGCCTCTCTGTAATTTCCACCTAAATCCTGGGTCTGCCCCTTGGAACTACGAAGAAGTCTGCTTCTGTTCCTTCTCCACAGGAGCCCTTTTGAGATCAGATCACATTCTTGCATATCCACTGAGTTTTCTTTTTTTTTTTTTTTTTTTTTTTGAGATGGAGTCTTGCCCTCTCATCCAGGCTGGAGCGCAATGCTGCAATCTTGGCTCACTGCAACCTCCGCCTTCCAGGTTCAAGCGACTCTCCTGCCTCAGCCTCCCAAGTAGCTGGGATTACAGGCACACACCACCACGCCCAGCTAATTTTTTGTATCTTTAGTAGAGACGGGGTTTCACCATCTCGAGACCAAGCTGGTCTCAAACTCCTGACCTCGTGATCCGCCCACCTCGGCCTCCCAAAGTGCTGGGATTGCAGGCGTGAGCCACTGCATGAATTTTCTTTTCTATAGGCCAGCCAGTTCCACTTCCTCTACAAGTTCCTTATAAGACATATTTGGGGGTAGGGAAGTAGGGTGGTAGGGTGGTGTAAGTAGGGGGCAGGATAAATGGGCATTCATGGAAGTATTCCTTCCAGGAGTTCAAAAAGCAAAGTATTCTCTAATTGTTGTCCTTTCATGTGTCTATTCTATTAAGCTTGTTAATTATGTTGTGCAAAACTTACAAATATCCCTGCCAATTTTTTGTCAGCTTGATTTATTCATTAACAAGAGGGGCATTTTAGTCTCCCCAAAATATCATGGGATTTGTTCATTTGTTCATTGACATTTTTTGCTTTAAATATTTAGAGACTCTGTTGCCAAGTGCGTACAGGTTCAGGATTGTTATATTTTCCTACAAATTGTTCTTGTTATCATTAAGCAATAATCCTCTTTGTCTTTGAGCATACTTTGGGCCTTAAAGTTTATATCATCTGATAATGAGATTACTCTATCACATTTTATTTGGTTAGTATTGCCATATTTTCCTCTCTCAGTCCTTGCAAACTTTCAGTACCATTTTGTTTTAGGTTAATTACTAAAAACACCACATTTCTGGGTCTTGGTTATTTTACACGTCTTCTATTTATCTTGCAAATCCAATCTATTTATCGAGACTACTCAAATATTTTTATTTATTTCTATCCTCTATTGTGTAATTTTATATTTTTAATTTACCTTTCTTCTCCCTTACCTTCTATTGGATCCACTAAGTATTCTAAATATTTCTTTTTGCTTATTCTGGTTTGCACATTATGCATTCTATTACCATAATGGTTACCCTTTAATTGTTATCCTTAATTTGCTCACTGGCATCCTTGACCTAACACAGCCTAACGTTTATCAATATATCTATCTTCCTCCTATGAAATGCAAAAATCTTAGAATGTTTTAACTTAGATCAGCCTCCTCCCAATCTTACATATTATTATTGCCTTTTTTCCTACTTTGTTTTAAACTTCCAAAACTATGAATTACTTTTACAGGTGATATTATTTATTGGACAAACCTATTTAGATTATTGTTCATTTATCTATGTATTTGGTTACCATCACTTCTTAAATCCCATTCTCTCCTTTTGTATTTCATATCCTTCTTGTAGGCAACATATGGATGAGTCCTTCTGTTTTTTTAATATGCTCTGACCATCTCCCTTTTTTTTTTTTTTTTTTTTTTTGAGACAGAGTCTTGCTCTTTCAGCCAGGCTGGAGCACAATGGCGAGATCTCGGCTCACTGCAACCTCCGCCTCCCAAGTTCAAGTAATTCTCCTGTCTCGGCCTCCCAAGTAGCTGGGATTACAGGCACATGCCACCATGCCTAGCTAATTTTTTGCATTTTAGTAGAGACGGGGTTTCAATATGTTCAATGGTATGTTTAGACCATTCACATTCAAAGTGATTATTGATATAATTGGATTCATATCTACTACGTTTGTAACTTTTCTACTTGTTGAACTTGTTCTTTGTTTCTTTACGTCTCCTCTTCTTCCTTCTCTGGTTTCAACTGAACGTGTCATACAATTCCATTTTATCTCTTCTGTTAGCATTTCAATTATATTTCTTTTTTTAAGTATTAGTACTTTCCCTAGAGTCTGCAATATACGTTTATATCTAATCTAAATTCACCTTCAAATGATACTATTCCTCTTCAATCATGTACCTTCTAATAGAATATTCCCAGTTCCTCATTCCTGTCCCTTAGGACATTGCTGCCATCATTTCACTTATCCATATGTAATAAATCACTCCATACATTGTTATTATTATTACTTTACACAAACAGTTACCTTTTAGATCAATTAAGAATAGAAAAATCAAAGGTCTTATTTTACCTTCATTTATTCTTTCTCCAACTCCCTTCTTTCCCTTATGTAGATCTGAGTTTCTGAACTACATCATTTTCCTTCCTCTGGAGAACTTCTTTTAACATTTCTTCTAGACCAAGTCTGCTGGTGATGAATTTCCTCCATTTTTGTTTAACTGGGAAAGTCTTTATTTTTTCCTTCACTTTTGAAGTATAATTCCCCATGATATAAAATTCTAGGTGGGTGAACTTTTTCTTTCAACACTTTTAATATGTCACTCCACTCTCTTCTTGTATGCATGGTTTCTGACAAGAAATCCACTGTAATTTTTATTCTTGTTTCTCTATAAGTAAGGTAATTTTTACCTCTGGCTTCTTTCAAGATTTTCTCTTTGTCTTTGATATTCTGGCTTTTGAATATTATATGCCTAATGTAGATATTTTGGTGTTCTCTAAGTTTTCTGCATTTTTGGTTAGCATCTGTCACTAATTTTGAAAAATTCCCAGCCATTGTTATTTCAAATATTTCTTCTTCTTCATTCTCTCTTCTCCTTCCGGCAACCTAATTATAAATATGCTATGCCTCTTAAAATTATCCCACAGTTCTTAGGTGTTCTGTTCTGGTTTTGTTTTTTCATTCTTTTTTCTCTTTGCTTTTCAGTGTGGGAAAGTTTCTATTGTCATATCTTCAAGCTCCCAAATTCTTGGTTTGGCTGTGTCCAGTCTAGTGATGAGCCCAGCAAAGAAAGTCTTTATTTCTGTTACTGTGTTTTTTATTTTTCTTTTGATTCTTTCTTAGAATTTTCATCTCTCTGCTTACATTACTCATCCATTCATGTATGTTGTTTACTTTTTCCATTACAGTCCTTAACATATTAATTATAGTCATTTTAAATTCCCTATCTTGGCCAGGTGCAGTAGCTCACACCTGTAATTCCAGTACTTTGGGGGGCCAAGGCAGGTTGATTACCTGGGCTCAGGAGTTCAAGACCAGCCTGGGCAACATGGTGAAACCTGGTCTCTACAAAAAATACAAAAATTAGCCAGGCGTGGTGGTGCTGCCTGTAGTCCCAGCTACTTGGGGGGCTGAGAGGGGAGAATCACTTGAGCCTGGGAGGTTGAGGTTACAGTGAGCTGAGATCATGCCACTGTACTCCAGCTTGGGTGACAGAGCAAGACCCTGTCTCAAAAGAAAAAAATATATACCTATCTAATAATTCCAAAGTCTGAGTCTGATTTTGATGCTTACTTTGTCTCTTCTTACTTTTTTTTTTCTTGCCTAATATTTTGTTGAAAGTTGTACATGATACATGAAGTAATTGGACTAAAGTAAGGTTTCATGTTAATCTGGCAGATCTCAGCTGTAACTCTGTATTCTTATGACTTAGGCCAAGAAAACGTGTTGATTTTCCTTTTGTTCAGCTTTACTTCTTATTGTAAAGATCAGAGTAATGGTGTCAAAACTCCACTTGTCAGAGCTGAAACTGCAAGTCTCTCATATCTTTCTTATTGAAGTACATGATTTAGCAGTTCAGCAAGAGTCTGTGAGTGGTAAACTCTCCCTGCCATTATCTGAAAATGTCTTTATTTGCCTTCACTGTTAAATGATCATTTATCTGAGTACGAGGTAATTATTACTATCTCTTAACACTCGAAGATATTTTCTGTTGTCTTCTGACTTCTAACAATGCTGAAAAAAGAGCCCTGTCAGTCTAAATGTTGTACTTTCTCTCTGGTTGCTTTCATAATTTTCTCTTGTCTTTGATGTTCTTCAATTTCACTAAAGTTTTGCTTAGATGTCTGTTTATTTTTATTTAACTTGCTTGGGATTTAGTATGCTTCTTCAATCTAATGATACATGTTTCTTGCAACAGTTTTGTTTCACAAAGTCTTAGCTATTATTTCTTCAAATATTGCCTCTTTTCTCTGTTTTTATTTTTCCATGCCAACTATTTGGTGTATGTTGGACTTTCTCATGATATTTTGTTTTATCTCTTACCTTTTTCTTTCATATTTCCCAACTCTTTAGCTTTCTATGCTATGTTCCTGAGAATTTCCTCAGCTTTGTCTCCTCCCAAATCAGTAATTTTCTATTCAGCTATGTCTTATCTGGTATTTAATCCATCAGTTGAATTTTTAATTAATTCTCACATCATAATTTTTATTTCTAGAAAATTTATTTGATTCTCTTTCTAGTCTGTTCCTTCTTTTGTCATGGCATTTTATTCTTTTATAATGGTTTCTAGTCTTTTTCATCTCTTTAATCATTTTCTAGTCTCTTTCAAATTGTCTGCTATCTTGGATTCTTGGAATACTCATTTTGCCCGTTATGTCTCCTAACTTTCCCTCATTTTCTTGGGTGGTTTGACATTTTTAAATTGTGAGCTTATTTAGTAGTTATTATTTATTCTGTAGGCATGTTGTACATACTAAATTGTGGAAGGAGCCAGATGAAAGTTTTTTTATATGCATCTGCGAGGCATCTCAGTGATTTCACTAATATGCCTCCAGTTTTTATATTATTTCCATCCTTGAATTTTTTAGAAATATTTTGTTTTTGTCTGAGTCCCATGTAGAATCAAGTTTCCCTACTGCCTCCTTCAGCTTGTGGGTAAAACTTACCTAGTGCCCATTTCATGGAATGTGCAGCCCTTCCAGGTTTCTAGTTTTTTGCAGGAGCTTTGGTTCCCACTCCTATATATCACACAATTCTAAGACTACATCTTTTGTCTCAACATCAGCATCAAAACCCCAGCCCCTGTTCACTAGAGACTATATTGAGAACCCATACCCTGGGCCACCAGGACATTAGCTCATGCACTTAAAGTTCTGGCTTTGAGCTGCCTTTTAAATTACAGCCACTGAGGATTTCCCTCTTTTTGTTTCAAAAAAAAAAAAATATATATATATATATATATACCCACACACACATATATATATAATGCTTTATTGTTATATTTGATCCAATTGTTTGCAATAGGAGAGCCTACAATAGCTCAGATCTTGTTATAAGAATCAGAAATCTACGTTCTTTTTTAAAAAATAATTTACAAAACAATAAATGTTTATTTTTATTGTTTTTTAAGAGTTTTGTAAATAGCCGACTTCCTTAAGTCAAACTTCCGACACACCCTCAAAACAAACAAGGTGTAAGACCAAAATTAGCTGTTCTTTTGTCTTTTTTTTGAATTGCAAATATTGGATAGCCTTGTTTGAGGGGAAATATCTCTACTCAAAAGTCAATTCTCACACAGTATTTTGGCTGCATCAATTGCTGTTACTTTATGCCACACAACACAGCACAGGTGGTCAATGTCACTGACATGGCATATCTGTAAAAATTTCTTGGATGAATGAATGAATAAATGAATGAAAGAACAACCGAGCAAGGTGCAGGCAGCTCTTTGACAATTCACTTGTAATCTTTAAATCCCACAAACACAGAATTTGCCTGTCATCAAAAAGAGTGGAACAGACAGGAGGAAAAACTGTAAACAAGTCAAAATAAAAATAAGTGATGGATTTCCCATTTGTTTTATCACTCACAGAATGTTAGAGCTAGAATGGATCTCAAGGATGACCCAGGGCAATCTCCCACCCTAAATGCAAAAACCATGACCCAGAGTGACTAGCCTAAGAGCCATCACTAAAGCCCAGAACCCCACGCTTTTCACTATGGCAATTTGCCCAGTATTCCCTCAAACATCCCCCTCCCTTACAAAGCAGGAACGATTTTTACTGGGGAGCTGTCCTTGTGCTTGGTTCACAGGAAGACAAAGACTACTCAACTGTTTAGAAAATATTTCAAAAGCTACTTAGAGACAAATGGACATCCCCAGGCAATATTCTTGGCAGCAAATCAAGTGAGGTCCCATAGAGTCCATGTAATTTTCATCCTTGGGTCACTTTGAGATGATGACAATAGAATAAATAGAATAAGGGAGAGTATGGCTGGTCTAGAGGCACCCGGCACTTCTAGAGATCTAGGGAGCAACAATTCCAGAATAATCCTTGTGATTATCTCATTCCTAAGGCAAAATAGCGTCCAAGTTAAATCTTAAGCAGTTCAGTGAACAGGAAGGTATTTCTACCTCCTCTCCTCCTGCTGGGGACAACTGGGATGAGAAGCCTTGTCCCCCCCACTTCCACCCTCTTATAGCTCCCTGCCATGGGAGGAGTCACTTATCCGACTGGTCAGAGCCCAGGACAAGCAGTTAGCTGTGCTCGCTGGTGGGCGGCATCGCTGTGCCTTGCGGCTCAGAAGCCCTTCTCTGGATCTTCAAGCTTCTACACGCTTCAGGTTTCCCATAGGAAGGCCCAGTTAAGTCCGTCTCTCAGTTCCATCTTCCCCTCCTGCAACTGGGTGGGTAAGCCAGGGAGGGTCTGCTCTACAGGGCAGTCAGTTTGGGAAATAACGTGCCAGAAGCTTCACTTTAGGTCTCCTCTAAGGGGTGCTTAAGTTAAGCCTAAGTGGTACTGCGCAACTCAGGTTTTCAGAGCCCCTAGAAACGGTTGGGAAGGTATGGAGTGAGTATTTGGGTACTTGTTCAGTACCCAAATCAATACCTTGTCCATTTTTGCTAGGTTGGCAACCCTACAGAGGAAGAATAAGAAAGAAGATTCAAAGCTCCAACCAAACCCCAACTCTTCCTTTCCACAAAAGCAGAGCCTTACAAATAGTGTGCCAAGATATCAAACTCTGTCAGCCTTTGGATGACCAGGGGACATGTGGGGAAGCTAAAGCCTGTAGGTCAGTTGCCTCCAGCCACGAGCATCCTGTTTATCCCAGTGTGTTACGCAAATATTAACACTTTCTATGCGTGCTATGGTAATTGGGAAGTCCTGAACAAAAGCGCATCCAGCCTACCATCTCCTTCTTTAATCTCTAAAACATATGACTTCTCCCTCCTTCAAGTCCCCAAGTCCCTGCCTACCAAGCTCCCACCAGAGAAGTCAACGCAAACTACGAAATTCTTATTCTCATCAAGAGTTGAGCTGATGCAGTTGATGGTGACCACTGGAGGCACCTTCCAATAGACTGAAACTTTTCCACCTAAGGAGGACATTTTCCCAGGGGTACCCTCTGGGTGGCAGGAGGTCTCAAAGCCCCAAAGCGTATCTTCCCAGAGCATCAAGTTGGAAAATCTAAGAAGAGCTACCCTAGAGGGTCTGGGATTTTTTCTTAGTTAAGTTGGGCTATCAGAAAAGCTGCTTTCTTGAGCCTCATGGTCACAGTAGCCCTGCCCCTGCAGAAATGCACTGATTAGCATGTGGGCGTCATACTCATCCATAAGACAAGCTCTATACAACCTACTGCAGGGCCTCTAAATGTGCTGTTGAGGACCGTGACCATTGCCTCACTGGTCTACCCACTGAAAACCCATGTGAAAATTTCCTTCCACTCTAAATGTCAGGAAAAAAAAATGGCTTCCATTGAGGAACTGGACTCTCCTCCACTGGTGGACAATGAGAAGAACACAACTGATTGCATTTCCCATTTTGCTTTGACCATCAGGAAGCTCAGAATCAAATTCAAGCTAACTCTAGGAACTACGGGGGCCTGGCTGGAGACTTGGAGGGTTGGTGGGGGGAAGTGTGAGGAGGTGGGGGAGCAGAAGGGAAAGGAGAGAAGCCGTGCATGATGGGGCCACACTTTTTGGGCAATACTACGGACTGGAGAGAAGCTAGACCCAGGCAGCCATCTTCAGGGGTACAGCAACGTCGCTTATACCCTAGCAATCGCCTCCTGGTCCCCTAGCTCTCCGAGTCTCCTCACAGCTGCAAGAGTAATCTTCCACTCTGTGTTGGATTGGATCCTGATATTCCCTGATTTAAAATCTCACAGAGGCCTCTCTTTGCTCTCAAGGTAATACAATCCAAGGCCCTGACCCCAGCACACAAGTCCCCTCGCACCTCACCAACTTACCACATACCACTTTCTGCTAATGTGCTGACCAGCCTACTCCTCCCCCATGGGACCTGGCCCTGAACTCCTGGGCAGAGGAAGCCAGATACTGTCTGGAGGCAGCAAGGCTGACAGCAGCCACCAGTATCCTGGCCCTGGCATCTTCACCAGAACCCCAGCCCTGCTCCCTGCACTAGAGGAGCTGGAGTCATCCAATGGCCTCCCAAGACCCTGCAGTCCCCACCCCTTTGCTGCTCAGGGCCATGGCTCCTGTGATGCAGACTGACCCTCTTTGTCCACCCTAGTGAGGATTCCTCAGGGGAACTGCCCTTCAGTGCCCCTTCCGGTGCTTCAGTGTAAAAGATCTTCTCTACTCCTTCCCCTCTTCCCACCAGACCCTTCTCATTCTTCTTATCTTAGAATCATTCTTTCAGGTTGGAAAGGCATTGGCATTTAGATAATTAAGCTCTCTGGATTCTTAAACTTCTAAAACCACATGTATGAAAATGGATAGATTCTACTTGCATGCCTCCAGCAATGGGAAGCTCACTACTTAACAAGGAGGCCCATTCCACTGTCAGAAAGCTTGGGCTATTAGTGAGTTCTTTTAGCCTGTCTTCTTCCTTGCCCACAACCTCAAGCCTTCTCTTCATCAGACCAAATGGCCCAAATTTCTCCAGTCATTCTTCCTAGGTAAGAATTTTCAGTTGCCTCTTCCGCACAAACTCTACTTTTGCAAAGGAGGAGCTTGGCCCTGAGCACAGCCCCACGAGGAGAGAGGCAGGGTGAGAGGAACAGAACCAGCTCAGAGGAGAATGGGACAGTCACCACCCTAGACTTCTGTTTATGCCTCCTGAGATCACACTGGTTCATGTGGCCGTGCTAGCACCTCCTAACTCATGCTCAGCTGCTTGCATGATCAAATTGAACCCCCAGGTTGCATCTCCAGGAAACTATCCATCTCTAAGAGTCAGTGGGCAGCCTGTGCTGCAACTGGGGGGTACCCCAATGGCCACCAGCCTGGGCTCTGGAGGCAAGGACCTGGCTTATGATCTTGGCCCCATATTTACTGTGTGCCCTTGGCTAAGCCACTGTACTCATCTCACCAAGCCTCAGCTACTCTGCCTGCACAACGGGGATGATGGGAGTTGTTGTGACTTGGTAATGAGGTGGGGTAAGTAAGAGTCTTTTCAGAACAGAGCCAGGCATGCCATAAGCAATGAATACATAGTAGCTACAGCAATTACTACAGCAATCACTAAAACCCAATATATTTATGAGCTCAGATAAGAGACAAGTTGGTGCAGGCCGAATTGGTGCAGGGCCATTGAAGGCCTCACAGGGCAGGCAGGACTCCTCCTGGGCCCGGACAGGGTAGGATTTAGAAACAGGCTGAAAGAATGTTCCAGGCAGGGAAGCAGTGAGCAGCAGCTTAGAGAGTGAGCCACAAAATTAAGAAAGTAATAACTGTAGTACCTGTCACGAAACACGCTCAGAGCCTCACCTGGGATTCACACGTTCATGCACATACACACATGCACACGCCAGCCCTGGGAGAGGCTGGGTCATGGGCAGCAGCCCCCTTGGACACAGGAGCAGCCCAGCCTGTGTGGGCAGTGAAAGGTCAGGCCTGGCCACAGCCCGAGGGTCTTGTGAGCAAGCAGAGGGACATGGGGACGGTGAAGGGGCGTGATGGGGATGAAGGTCCGGGGTTGGGTTTCAATGGTGGGAAACCATGAGGAACTCTTATAGGAGGTAGGCTTCAAGAAGAAAGAGATCCAACGGTAGTCGCAGGAACAGGACGAGAGGCAAGAAGTCCCAGTGAAGGTTGCTTCCAAGGTGAGCAGAATAATCCAGGCCACAGATCCCGGGCTCTGGGACACACTGCCCTCAAAGCAGTCACACCTCATCTCTGCGTTCCACCCCTCTGTGGTTGAGGTCCCCTCCTGCTCCTCCACCCCATTGTACCTGACTTCCTGTCACTGACCCCCATTTCAACCATCCAGGCCCCCTTGCAGCTCCCTGCCCACACCTGCATTCCTCTCTTCCCACAGTCCTTTGCCTGTGCTGCTCCTTCGGCCTAGAATGCCTTCTCCAGCCCGCCATCTGCTATTGCCACGGGGCTGCATTCTGCCCTTCCCTCAAGGCACCTCCTCCAGGAAGCCTTCCTCTTTCTCAGCCTGGCCCACCTGTCTCCCCACCTCCTCCTCTCCTCCTCTCCTCCTCATGGTGGGACACAGATCCATAATGAAGGAAAATGAGCTCTCTGAAGAAAAAAACCACATCCTCTTTCTCCCCAGGGTACCCAGCCCTTTTTCTGCCTCATGGTCGAGGTTCAGGCCATCCCTGATGACCAAGCTCAACATGCTCAGAAGCACAAACCAGCCCCTTCCCAGGAACAGGATGCCCACAGGAGAAGGCAATGCTGTTCGGCCCACCAGCCTGGAGAGGTGCCACCACTGAGGGGGCAAAGCAGCTGATGAGAGCAGGAGGCATTTCTAGTGGTTTTCTCTGTTAGACAAGGGGCAGATCTTCTCCCAGTTTAACCTCCTGTGACCTTTGAACTCCCTGGGAGGTCAGCAGCACATCCCCTTCCCCAGCTGTCTCTCTGTCTCTGGCCCAATGGGAGGGAGGGCCCTGGCCCGTTCCATTTTGCACCCGTATTGATCTATTGGCAGCAATGGGATGGATAATTAGCCAGGAATTAGGGTTTCTATTACAGCCAGGAGGCTGCTCCAGCTGATTTATCACCTGAATAATTTACTGTGATTGAAAGGAAATTAAAATGAACTCCATTTGACAACTGTGAGCTTTTATGGGCTTTAGTGAAGGCTCAAAAGCCAGATTAATAGCCTGGTGTTGGTTAATAGTCTGCCGAGAGTAAATACGGCAGGCTATGCTCCGTAGCCTTCCTGTGGCCGCCGGAGGAGGGACCCGCTCCCAACAGGAGCGCTGCGCCGACGACAACGTCAACGGGAGTTTTACTGAAACAGATACCACTGTTGGAAACATACACACACACACGCACGCACATACACACGTGCACGCACACACACTCGCCACCAGCAGCTTTCTTTTCTTTTCTTCCTCCAACGTGATTTTTACTCACTCCATATGTAGGGAAAACAGAATTGCTTTTTCAATAACCGTTTTGAAAAGGAAGTGTTTCATTGCCCAGGCGTGGTCAACATTAACGCCTTCCACCCAGGGCAAAGCGTTTACTACATTTCCCTACAAAAGCCAGCAGCCTGGGCCCACCCACCCAGGTAGATCTTGGCGGGAAAAGCTGCAAGTGGGGCAGGCTCCGAGCTAACAGCAGTAACTGTCAGGACCCCTGCCTGGCCCCAATGAGGAATGTTCTTCCCATGGGAGACAGGGTGGGAGGATCCGGGAGGATGTGGCCTCTCCAAACCTATGGCAAGTTCTGAGAGTTCTGGATGACAGGCAGACTCTGACTGAAATAGGCCAGGTCTGGAAACCAGCTAGCCAGAAAACTGGCCCCTGGAATCGTCCTGGACCTGGAGGCCCATGGAACCATCTTGCATGAGATGAAGACAGAAGACCCTGAGATGAGATTCCAGCTCTGCGGTTCAACAATCTTGGAAACTCCTTGAATAAACAATCTGTGAAAAAAAATGTTCTAGTCTATACAATGGGGCTCCCGAATCATGCCCAGCCTGTTTGGCAGGCATTTGCCTCGGGGGTCCAATGAGAGGATGGATGTGAACGGTCTTTGTGAACTGAACGCTGTGGTGTGTAGGTGAGGAGGATCGCTGTCGTCACGTTCGGTTTCGGCTGCTGCAGCTGTTCTTGTTGTTGTCGTCATCAAAATCATGATCACTTCTACCACAGATATGGAAACTGAGGCCCAGAAAAATAGTGACTTGCTCGGCAGGGCAGAGCTAGGACTCAAATCAAGCTTCCCGACCCCAAGGCCAGTAAGTGCTCTTTGTTCCCCACCAAGCTGCTCAGCGAAAGTGACAGCAAGGCCCCCATCCAGGGCACTAGGCCACAGAGACACACACTGAGACAGCTCAATCTGCTCGAAAATGGAAGAGGCAGCCAGCCTCCGCGGCCAGCACCTCAGGCCCCCTTCCTGTCACCACCGCCATGCCACGCTGGGGCTCACAGGCGAGGCCTGTGGAACATTCACCTCTTGGAGAGCTAGCATGAGGGGCTCAAGGAACCTGTACCCTTGACTGACATCCCTTCCCAGCCTGCGGCCCCTTGCTCAGGCATCATTTGTCCAAAGTGATTGGGAATCGGGCACGAGGGTATGTCATTCATAGTCCAGTGCCTGTGTGTGGGTGCAGGGCAGCCCCGTCTCCTCACCTTCCATCTCTCCTCATTAAAACACATTACAGGGAGGTGAAGCAGATTAACCAGAAAACACTGGGTCAGTCATTATCCTGCCACACAGTTCGCCTGCAGTCGCCGTCTCAGAGCGCACAGTCAGAGACAGGCCTGCAGACGTGCCTGCTCATTCTGAAGGACACTGGAGATGCTGAGTCCTCACAGAGTTTGTAATCAGGTCTCCTCCCCATCAGACCCCATCTCTCCATGAGCCCATGGGACCTGTCCTTCAAGCCCCCCATCCAACACTGCCCCCTCAGTGCCATTGTCCTTGATGCTCCCAACCCAGGTAACATCCCCCTCTCTGGCTGACACCTCATCAGGACCCTCTGAACAGTCTCTCTTGTCCTGCGGGCTCTGAGTCCACAGCACGCTGCCCCTGCGAGACTGGACAGAGCTGATGAGCACTTGGCACTGTGCCTGGCTCCCAGCCCACGTTCAGGGAAGAAGTTAGAGGAGTGGCATGTGAGCAGGTGAGTGAGTGAATCCATGGGCGGCTTCCAGACCACTCAGGGATGAGGTCTTGCAGGCTGCGTGGTCTTCCTGGGCACTCTGAGCTAAAGGAGTTATGGTGCAGATTCTGAGTCTCCATGACGGTCATGTGAAACACAGAGGGAGTCTCACACGGAGTGTCTGTGTGAATAAGGGGTTCACAGAAACACTTGTGCTGCAGAGGCCAGGTGGAGTGCAGAGGCCTGGATCCCCGCTCTTCCCTGTTCACTTGCTGGGTGACCTCAGACATGCCCTGTCCTCTCTCTGGGCCTCTAAAAAAACAACAGGTTGAAATCTTGCCTCTGTGGCTCCTGTTACCCCTAAAATTACATGATCTTGTCAGCCATTAGAAGATAAACTTTCTGGCCGGGTGCAGTGGCTCATGCCTGTAATCCCAGCACTTTGGGAGGCCGAGGCAGGCGGATCATGAGGTCAGGAGATCAAGACCATCCCGGCTAACACGGCGAAACCCTGCCCCTACTAAAAAATAGAAAAAATTAGCCGGGCATGGTGGCGGGTGCCTGTAGTCCGTCCTACTCGGGAGGCTGAGGCAGGAGAAAGGCGCGAACCCGGGAGGTGGAGCTTGCAGTGAGCCGAGATCGCGCCACTGCACTCCAGCCTGGGCGACACAACAAGATTCTGTCTCAAAAAAAGAAAAAAGATAAACCTTCTGGCTGGGCGCAGTGGCTCACACCTATAATCCCAGCACTTTGGGAGGCCAAGGAGGGTGGATCACCTGAGGTCCGGAGTCCAAGACTAAGCCTGGCCAACATGGTGAAACCCCATCTCTACTAAAAATACAAAAAAATTAGCCGGGCGTGGTGGCAGGCACCTGTAATCCCAGCTACTCAGGAGGCTGAGGCAGGAGAATCACTTGAACCTAGGAGGTGGAGGTTGCAGTGAGCTAGGATCACACTACTGCACTCCAACCTGGGCAACAAGAGCAAAACTCCAGCTCACAAAAAAAAAAAAAAAAAGAAGATAAACTTTCTTCCACATTCTGGAGGGAAGGACAGGCCTCATCCAGGAAGGTTTCCTGATCGAGGCCCCTCTCACTCTCCTCCCGTGTCAGAGAAAATGTGCCTTCTGCCGTCTCTCAGAAGGGCTCTGAGCAGAGCAGAGAGGGTGCTTGTGATAGAAACAGACTCTCCTCCCTGAAGTCCAAGATCTAGAGTGTGTGGGGGCGGCTATGCCCAGCACCATAACCATGTCCTACCCAACAGAGGTGTCACTCGACTTGTAAGAGAAAGACTAAAATCCTCAACCCAGTCTACAAGACCAGGCCCACCTCCCCAGCATCATCGCCCGCCCATCCCTGAGCCACAACCACACCGGCTCTCTCCATTCCTCGTTCCTGCCGCCTTCCTCTCAACTCAGGGCCTTTGCACTTGCTGTCCCCTCTGCCAGGCACTTTCCCTCCACCCCCACACCCCTTCTCCTTGCTCCACTCAACCCCTTCAGGCTCAGCATAAATACCTTTCCCCCAGGAGGCCACTGAGGCCTCCAGGCTGGCTCAGCCTTTCCTTTAGGCTCTCAGAGAACCTCAGACACCTCCTCCTTAGCACCAAGCGCACCTGTAACCCATGACCCTTTAGGTAATTCTTCTATTGGGATTCTTCCACAAGTCTGTAGGCTCCCTGAGGGGAGGTCCAAGACCATCTTGTTCACTGATGTGACCCAGTGCATGGCTCCAGGCCTTGCACAAAGTAAACACTCATCATATTTGTTATGTGAATGCGTCTTGCAGCGTGGCCTTAGGCAAGTTGCTCTGCCTCTCTGGACCTTGGTTTTACCATCTGAAAACAAAGTGGCTAGAAGGTCTGTAAGAGCTCTCATAGAAACTGCTCAGACACAGACAGACTGTCATAGATGGGTGGCCCCAGAGGCCCTGCTCTTCCCTCACCACACGGTTCTCTCCAGCACCTCGCCTCTCCATGGGAGCTGTGCAGGGAGGCTACACTGCTTGGACTGACTTTTTGGAGAAGATTCAGAAGCATCCTCTAATTAGCATTTAGAGGAAACTCAGCGCAGCCAGTTCTCACCACTAGTACCAGCGAGGAAAGTGCCGAGGAAAGTTGTTGTCTGTAGGGTCTCTCTGGTTGGCCCACCAGGTGGGAGCTCTTGGCAGTCCAGAGCCATGTCTAGCCTGCAAGGTTACCTGTCAAGGCCCTGGCACACACTGGGTGTCAGGAAATAGTCTTATGAACTGAATCTGATAGTCCAGAGATCTTAGTCAGGCCTCAAGAGCCTCTCACTGGGCCGAGCCTCGTGATCTCATCTCTATAGCCACAGGTAGTGACTACTCTGCCCAGGGTATAGCAGACAGCCGGTCAGCCAGGGCTGGTCCTCCTGCTTTCTCCCTCTCTTGCAAATAACCCAGGTGGGAGTTTGTGCAATGAGACATTTCTTTATCTCCAGAATTTTGGATTCAGTCACTAAGAGAATGACAAGGCGACCTGGTGAGAGGGCAGACAGTGGGATACCCACCCGCTCCGTCATTCCATTGTTCACGGCCGGTGAGCCCCCAGGCCGCGTGCTGGTTACATATTTCCACCATCACCCTGACTGACAAGATACTGACCCAAGACCACCTTACGTGGCCCGAAAGATCATTACACCCTTCTGTCCAAAGAGCCCTTGGAAAGGACACCAGAGCAGCCAGAGAAGTCACCCACCCCCTGGCTGGCCAGCGACAGAGGCACCAGGGCAAGAAGCCACTGGAGGCCCAGACAAGCCCTCCCGACCTTATAGGATGTAGCGACTGCCCAAGTTTGGCCAAGAACACTGAAGAGACCTCTCTGAGCAGAACCTGGTGTGCCCTCACCCACACCCCGCCAGATGCCTCTGCCTTCAGGAACCTGGCTGGGCCGGTGTGGCGGTGGCAGGTGTGGTGGGCGTGCATCACGAGGCGTACCTGCTCGGGCTTGATGGGCTCTGTGGTGGTGAAGATGTCTGAGTAGTGCTGCCTCTCAAACACGCGGTCCAGCACCTCCAGCTGCTGCTGTGTGAACAAGTCTCCCCGCATCTGCTTCCGGAGGAAGTCTCTGCCCGGAAGCGAGTGGCCGTTCGGCACCGGAGACTCCTGAATACCTTTGATGAGCAGGAGAGAGGAAGGGTGAGTGGAGGTTATACACGTTGCTAAAGAAAGACAGGTCAGACCCTGAGACTATGAAGAGGACCTGACCCCAACTCCCTCCCTGACCAGAGAATACACCAGCAGGGGCTCAGGTAAGGCACTGCCTTTCCCAAGGTCACCTGCTGGTAAGTTCAGAGTCAGCCTCCCGCAGCCATGTGCCAGGGACTGTGCAAAGCCCTTTTGACAGGCATCATGTCATCTAATCCTCATGATGACCCTCAAGGTAGGTTATTTTCCCCACTTTGCAGATGAGAAGACTGAGACCTAGAGAGATTTATTGGTTTGCCTGAGGATTCGAGCTTGGGCTGACCCACAGGCTTAGTCATCCGGTGCTCCTGCCCCTCCTGTCCTAAAGACCTTCCCGGGAGGTACAGTTTTTCCCAGAGTTGAGGTCCTTACCCTGGACATTTGCTACCACATCATGTGACCGGTCAGTGAAACACTGTGCTAGGAAGACTGTAGGAAAACGGGACTCTCATACAATTCTGGTGGAAGTGGTAACAACACCTGTGCTAGACAAGTCGACAAATCTATCAAAGCCACAAATGCACATTCCCTTTGATATAGCGATTGCACTTCTGGGAATTTATTTTACAGCTCAACTTACACATGTGAGAAGTGATGTATGTACAAGGTTCTTGTAGCAAAAGACTGGAAACAACCCAAGAGTTTATTTGTGGGGGGTTGGTTAACTCAGCCAGGCATACTTGCATAATGGAAAACTGTGCAGCAGCTGAAAAGGAATGAGGCTTCCTTCTGTGAATTGATATGAAAAGATCTTCAAGATACATTGTTATGTTAAAAAATAAAAAACAAGGTACAGCACAGCATGTATAATGTACAACCTTTTGTGTAAAAAAGGAAGAAAATAAGACGATGTGCAATATAAATCTCTCCAAAGGATATATGAGAAACATTTACAGTGGTTGCTCATTCAGGGAGGTAGGAAGTGAGTGAGTGGAGGTGAGGGGGAGAGACTTTTCATGGCATGTTTTTCTTTGGTTTGGTTTGGTTTCAGAAGTTTGAATGTACTGCTTATTACAAAATGTAAATTAACTAAGTATAAGATTAAATTCCCTCTGTGTTCTGTATTGTTAGCTATTCACACTGTAACAGTCTCTGGTGATGATGCTTACATGTCAAAAGAAATATTACGAATTATCAATAAAGAAACAAATGGGATGAAATATCTTCTGTTGAGTCTCAAGCTTGAACTGTTCAAAATAAAATCAAGCACAGAGGGCAAATGTTTCCCGTGAGGAAATGGCCTCGGGGGTACATCATTCCCCGGGGCTCTCTGGGACCATATTGCTCACGCAAGGCTGACCAGAGGCTTCTTGAAACCCAGGCCCAGAGGTGAGGCATCTGCCTTTGCAGTCAGGAAGCCCTGGGGAAAACCAGCGTGGGTCTGCTCTCATGCTGAAAGGTGCCCTTACTCAAGGCCTTGTCTGACCCCTGCCCCCACCAGTGCACTGCTGCCCTAGACTAGACTTCATCCGTCACGTCAAGCTCCCACCCATGTGAGGAATGAGGCCAGACTAAAGACCATGAAGCAGTGAGATGTGGTGTCACCAAGACTCAGTCAGAAGTCAATGCTTCCTCAACTGTACTTATCTGGGGACAACTGCAATGCAGGGCTGACATTTGAACAAAGATAGCAGCTTTGAGTTTTGGCCTTTCGGATCCCTCGTAGAAGTCAACAGGCTCAGAGGACCCAGCATCCTCTATAGGAAGGGCCTTCGGAGGCAGCTCATGAGCCCTCTGAGAAAATGGATTCCCCACCAATTTTGACCCAAGAGGATACTGTAGGCTGGGCCACAGCCTGAGTGACCAGATACCCCCACATGTGGGCCAAGGCAGAAGTTGGTCTCTCTGACCAACGTTCCCCAGCCTGAAGCCTAGGCCCCTCCTCTGGCAGCCCATGACCTTGGCCTTCCACAAGACAGGTGCCTGCTCCTGCCCACAGGACATCATCCTCAGAGACCCTTCTCCCATCATGGCCCATCCCCATGGGGACCATTCCCACAAGGTCACCTAGACTAGCAGGTATGGGAGCTCACGGCCCAGTCTATCTGCCCAGCAGTGTTCTTCCATTGGTCAGCACCCACCAAATGATCCTTTTCTCAAAGGTTCTATGCACACACACACATGCACACACACATGCACACGCACACGCACACCAGGAAAGATGGCTCAGTTTTTCCTACTCAGCTGTGGCTCTGCCCAGTCATCCTGGTCCCAGTCACTCTTGCTAAAGCATGACGTGGGCCTTGGTCCCCAGGACACCACCAAGTTCCTCCTTGTCAGAAGGGGCCCATCCACTTTCAAGAGCTTCTCCCTCCACCAGCTTCAGTTATACTTCCCAGCCCTGACCCTGCCAGCCGGGCCCAAAACTCAGTGAAACCTCCTTCCTGTCAGCCATCTCCTAACAACTCCCGCTGAGGCCTGGCTCTGTCCCCAGCAGGGCAGTGCCCAGCTCCTCCGGCCCACCCAGGCTGCTCCATCAGATCCCCTCAACTCTGCCCCTCTAGGGGGCGTCTCTTCAGCCAGCCAGGCCATCCTCCCAGAGGAGTCCTCAGGCTTGATCCCTCTCCCCCGGGACTCATGGGCCAGGCTCTTTCCACAGCTCAGAGCCCAAAGTTCAGAGAGGGTGGCTCCACTGAGGGCCCCTGGGGGCAAGGTCACTGTCTGGTCACCCAGTAGAGCCCAGCACAGAGTAAAGGCTCAGGGCACACAGGCCCTCAAGTGTACACACAGGGGGTGTTAGGAGACCCTCCCCCTGAGGACACCACACAGACTCAGCACAGGCAGCCTCGCTGGACACGCGCCCCTCTCTGCAGTCTCCCCAGAAGCAGACTGGCTGCGTCCTGCTCTGGTTCTTTGAGAGTCAGCCATAGCCTCTGCCAGCTGAGCCTGTAAGGATATCTAGGCTGCCAGGCGCCGTGGCTCATGCCTGTAATTCTGGCACCTGGGAGGCCGAGGTGGGTGGACTGCCCTCGAAGGGCTGCGAGCTGGGCAGAGCCTGCCTCTCCGGGCATTCACCCTGTCCCGCGATTCCCCTCACCACTCTCACCCCACCAGCACCTCGCTTGCTTTCTTTACTAGGGAAATAATGGCAATAGTGTCTGTCATTTCCTTAAGAAGGATTTGGACACTCCAAAACACATAATTAGTTATTCATTGGTTTAACAAATATTGATAAAATATTTACTCTGTATCAGGTAATATTTTTTAAGTAAATATATTTTAAAAATAAACAAAAACAGGGGATACAGTGATGACCAAGACAAGCCTCTCTCTCTCCAGTCTAGAGAGGGCAGCCCACTTTAGTCAAGTGATCACAGGAATAAACATAGGATTACAAACAACGGTGACTGATGCTAGGGTGAAAAGAGAGCATAAAAATATATCCATGTGACCATGTGTAATGGAGAGGGGAGTGGCCTCCTGTGGGAGGAATCAGGGAAGTCTCCAAGAGGAACTGCATGGAACCGTGAGGAGTGACCAGGGAGAGGGGATGGGGCAGAGAGGGTGCCAGACTGAGGAGATGCTCGTACAAAGGCCCTGAGAGAAGGGGGTGAAAGGAACAGAGGGAGAGAGGGAAGAGGCCCCAGGAGAATCTGGAGAGGCTGGGAGGGATTGAGCCAGACAGCCCCAGGGGCCAGAGAGAGGATCTGAGCCTTGCTGCAGGAGTCTTGAGGAGCTACGGGAAGGGCTGGGGAAACATGTGCCCTCCACATTTCTCAGTCCCAGGGCCCGAATCGCTCGTTCCTTCAGGTCAGGCCATGCTTTCTAAACTCTGCTCCCAAGCCTCCTCTTTTGGTAGAAACTAGGGGCCAGGGGAGGTAGGAGCTTGCATTTGTGGGTGTTTGAAGGTGGATCTGCTGAGTCACCTGTTCAGCCGCAGGTGATTCACTGTGCCCATATGGAATGGAAACCATCTCCCATGGACACGGGCATTGTTCTCCAGACACAGCCAGAAGCACACATGTCTCCTCCTCCAGGATGCCTTCCTTCATGCCCCAGCTGGTCCTCCAGCTCCCATTCTTAGGGCTCTGACCACTTTCTCCCTTATTTTAGGAACCACATCCCCTGGGCCCTTCACTCCCACACTGTGCTATGAGCTACCTTCGGGGTAAAGGTGGGAGGTAATTCATCTCTCTCTCCTCCAAAGCGAATATCTGTGGAATAAATGAATGAATTGGTACTACCTGTGACAAGTGTGACAAGCACCATCACTCTGCATGTCTGTCTGAAAATGTCAGGATCCCTCCATTTGACCTCACACATTCATCATTCTTCCCTCCACCAAGCTTAGTGAGTGCTAATGCCAGGGACACAGTGATGGGCAAAAGCTGAGCCAGCCATTGTCCTCATGGAGTTATGTCCAGAGGAGGTGGCAAACAGTAACTGAAAAATAATCGGACTAGTAAAGGTACAAGTATCAACCAAGATAAGTACTCTGACTGAAAAGGCGCATGGTCTTAAGAGGGGACCCTCTGTCCTGCCTCTGGTGTCGCACACAGTGGGTACTCAGTGAGAATGAACCAACAAACAGATTATATGCTCAGAGACAGCTATAAAAATTAATCCCAAAACTCAGCCCTTGCACAAGGGCAGGTCTGAACCTCCAGGCCTCCAGTGTAAGCTTCCGTAGCATTTCTCATCTGCACCATGAAGATGCTGTCTGACTTAATTGGAGAATGTGGTCTTGGAGGCAGGCTACAGAAATGCTCAGACCCATTTTATTCCAGGGAGAAAAGTCTGAACTCACAAAGTGAATGGTATGCTTAAATATATGGACAGACACGGGCAAAAGTACAAAGGTGTACAGGGGGCATGGTATCTTTAAATCTTTTTTTTCTACTCCAAGTCAAATAATATGTAATAGACCCAGTGCTGGGCTTAGTCAACCATGGCTCGTAGAATTAACATTCTGGAAGCTAGCTTCAGGGGAGCAAGGGGCAGGAAGCCCCGTCTCGGGGAGCAAAGAAATGCTGGCTTTAAATTTCAGGTTAAACCAATGTTATTCACAACCCAGCTTTGAAGCTAAAAGCTTTACACAATCGGGTCTGGTCACGCAAAAAGGGAAGAAGCAAAATAGCCTCAGATTCCCATCTGTCAAGAGAAAGCTGTCTCTTGTGTGTCTTAAAAGATCATAAACCCATTGCATTTTCTTCAGAGCACAGCAGATTCAGGGGTTTTGCATTTTTCTTGGAGGGTTCTGGTTTGTTTCTTTAAAAATCATCATGCGCTTTATGTCTGCAGATGCTCACTAGGAGGAAAATATAAAAACAAACAGGAATCTCTGAAATCCCTCCTAGCATCATGGCTTTTGGGATGTAACCCCATCTGGAGGCTGAAGAGCCCCAGGAAAAGAGGCTAGAGCCGCCAGGTCAGCCTCCAGCCTTTCTCAGAGTCCAGTTTCTCTGCAGAACCCAGGCCAAAGCCAGAGCCCTTATACAGCTTCCTTCATCCTCACAGCTGCTCCTTAGCATGGCAGGGCCGTGGCAGGGCCCAGTGGGAAAAGGGTTGGGAGCCAGCAGTCCCGGGTTCTAGCCCCAGCTCTGCTGTTACTTGCTGTGTGGGCCCAGGCAAGTTCCTCTCCCTCTCTGAGCCTCAGAGACCCCAGTAGTAAGCTAAGGTAGCTGAGTTGGTCATTTCTAACCCCTTTCTCCACCAAAATCCACCTAGATTTTTGTGTGCTAAGTAGTATTAAATGAGCATTGACTTATTTTCCCATTTTGGTTGTTGTGCAGTCTTTATAGGGGACTCCCTGGCTATGATCCATCCCACCGCTAAGAGACTGCCTGAGCCAACCAAGGGGATCCCATCCTCTTGAATGAGCACTCCTGTGATGAGAGGCCTGTTGGTTGGGGGTGGTGGGAGTGCTGGGGGAAAGTCAGAGACAGGAATAAATCCTTTTTCTTCACAGGGATATATTTACTCTTAAGCTGTTTGAAACTATGAAAATAGGCTGGGCACGGTGGCTTATGCCTATAATCCCAGCACTTTGGGAGGCCGAGGCAGGCAAATCACTTGAGGTCAGGAGTTCGAGACCAGCCTGGCCAACATGGTGAAACCCCGTCTCTACTAAAAATAGAAAAATTAGCCAGGCGTGGTGGCGGGAGCCTGTAATCCCAGCTACTCAGGAGGCTGAGGCACGAGAATCTCTTGAACCCAGGAGACGGAGGTTGCAGTGAGCCGAGATTGTGCCATTGTACTCCAGCCTGGCTGACAGAGCGAGATTCAGTCTCAAAAAAAAAAAGAAGAAAGAAAGAAAGAAAAGGAAAGGAAAGGAACGGAACGGAACGGAAAGGAAAGGAAAGGAAAGGAAAGGAAAGGAAAGGAAAGGAAAGGAAAGAAAAGGAAAGGAAAGGAAAGGAAAGGAAAGGAAAGGAAAGGAAAGGAAAGGAAAAACTGTGAAAATAACTCCCAGATCCCATTCCTGTTTTATGCACTACAACACCCCCACCTTACCCCAGGGTCCAGGGCTGTCTCTAGATCGGCCCAGTTTGCTGCTTGTAACCACAGGCCTCTGGCACTGCCTGCATGCCTAGACTTGCCTCCCTTGTGAAGATGGGGGACAGAGCAGGTCCTGATGGTCATCTGCCACAGGAGTACAGAGCTGGGGTGACTGGCAAGATGAAATGATGTGACTTGGGGCATTTTTCCAGTTTGGGTCAAGTGAGTCCAATGAGCTTGGAATTGGCATCTTCAGGTGGCTGCAATGGCTAATTCTCAAAACAACCTATAAAGTAGACACCCACCAAATTCAGACCATGCTAATTTGTAACTTTAAAGGATTATTTCAGGCTGAGAGCAGTGGTTCCTGCCTATAATCCCAGCACTTTGGGAGGCTGAGGTGGGAGGATCACTTGAGGCCAGGAGTTCAAGACCAGCCTTGGCAACATGGCGAGACCCCCATCTCTACAAAAAAAAAATTTAAAAATGGCTGGGCATGGTGGCTCATGCCTGTAATCCCAGCAGTTTGGGAGGCCAAGGCAGGCGGATCACCTGAGGTCAGGAGTTCAAGACCAGCCTGGCCAATATGGTAAAACCCCGTCTCTACTAAAAATACAAAAATTAGCCAGGTGTGGTGGCACATGCCTGCAGCTACTCGGGAGGCTGAAGCAAGAGAATCACTTGAACGTAGGAGGCGGAGGTTGTGGTGAGCCAAGATCATGCCATTGCACTCCAGCCTGGGCAACAGAGTAAGACTCTGTCTCAAAAATAATAATAATAATAAAATTTAAAAGTTAGCTGGGGTGTGGTGGTGCAGGCCTGTAGTCCCAGCTACTTGAGAGGTTGAGGCAAGAGGATTGCTTGAGCCCAGGAGTTCAAGGCTTCAGTGAGCTACAATGGTGCCACTGCACATTAGCCTGTGTGACAGAACAAGACTCTGTCTCTAAAAAAAAACCAAATAATTTTTTAAAAGGGATAGGAAGCCAAGGGATTTGTTCTGGGGCTATGTTAGCAAAACTCCTTGTGCGAGACTGAGAGAGCATTGTCTGTCCCTAGCAAAGAATGAAGTGGGGCTGACATTAGATAACAGGGCTGCAAAGCTCCCCACACCCCCTGTTCTCACCCCGGATAGAGCGCTGTTCAGTGTCAGGCACTGAGCCAAGTTATTTGTGCATCCTTCAGTTTCTTTGACCTTCAGAACATCTCTATGAAGTATGTATTCTTATTCCACTTTACAGATGAGAAAACAGAGGCTCAGAGAGCTTGAGTCACTGAGGTCCCTCAGCTCAAAGTGGCAACGCTGGGATTTGTACCTAGGTCTCTTATCTGCAGATTCAGCACTCAGGACACCTCCCTTTACTCTTCCTGTCAGCTGCTAAGATGAAAGCCCTCAGTTTCCTCATCTGTAAACTGAAAACAACAGTATGCAGGACAATTCGTGGGGCTTTTATAAGGATTAAATGAGATAATCTCCATGACACTTTAACACGGCACCTGGCAGAGAGTTTAGTGTCCAAATAATGCTAGCTGCTGTCATCCTCATTTTCATCAAGAAAACCCTTCCAAGGCTCCCCGGGGACAAAGCCTGAGCCCCCGAGGCCTCGACGACCTGCCCCTCTAGTCAGGGTCACCCCCCACTTCACCCCGCAATGCCATCCCAGCAGGCCGTTTGTCAGCCCTCATGTGTCTCTTCCCCACTGCTCCCCAGTGCCCCTGGACATTCTGCTCCCTCTGCTGGCATGCCCTTCTCTCCTGCCCAGCAAGACTCAGTCTAAAAGCTGCCTCCTCTCTGAAGCCTGCCTCCAAATCCAAAGGCTGAATTCACCACCCTTTCTTCTGGGTGTCCTCAGCACGTTGCATGGGCCACCACTATGGCCTGGATTCTACTCTTCACAAACCATTCTGTGAACTCAGTCCTCTTGGAACCTCCACTTTACAGTTAAGGAAGCTGGCACAGAGAGATGAAGTAATTTGCCCAAGATAACACAGCAGAGCACTTGCACAGCTCCTACATGTGCTAAAGTGAAGTTGGGCACTGTGGCAGACCTGGTACAGAACAGTGGGGAAGCCTAGGCACTCTGAACTCATGGGGGCCCGGGTTCGAATTCCAGAACTCTGTCTCTCACAAGCCCATGATATTTGAGCAATTTCTTTTTTTTTTGTTTTTTGAGACGGAGTCTTGCTCTGTTGCCCAGGCTGGAGTGCAGTGGTGTGATCTTGGCTCACTGCAAGCTCCGCCTCCCGGGTTCACGCCATTCTCCTGCCTCAGCATCCTCAGTAGCTGGGACTACAGGCGCCCGCCACTATTCCCAGCTAATTTTTTGCATTTTTAGTAGAGACGGGGTTCCACCGTGTTAGCCAGGATGGTCTTGATCTCCTGACCTCGTGATTCATCCACCTTGGGCCCCCAAAGTGCTGGGATTACGGGTGTGAGCCACCACGCCCAGCCTTGAGCAACTTCTTTAACTGCTCTAATCCTCAATTTTCTTATCTGTAGAGTGGGATAATAATAGTATCTGGAGTTGACAAAATAATTTAATGAGAATACATGTAAAATACTTAGCATAACCCCTGACACATAGTAAGTGCTCAATAAACGTTAGCTGTTTCCAGAATTAGTATTTTTTTCCCCTGCTAAAGTATGAGCTGAGGGCAGAGCCCATGTCCCATTTACCTCAAGCATAGGAGATGCTAATGAATGTTTGTTGACTGAATTATTAAGCTAGGAAGGCTTGAGGGCTTGCAGGGCTGTATGGCTCAGAAGAATTCAGCACTAGGACAGTCGCTGGTATCATCAGAGAACTCAGGAGTGGCTTCTATTATATCAGTGATCTCAGAGGAGGAAAAAGTGAAACAACTAAGAGTTTATGTCTCGCCTACTTCTAAGACAGATTTGAGGCTGTTCATAGAATTTTGAACTAGAGTGGATGATAAACTACTAAACTCAGTTGAGCTCTAAGCTCCCTGGCAGCATATACCAAAAAGAAAATGCAGCAAGTCATATATTGCTCAGAGTCCAACAACAACAACAAAATGCTGTTCACAGACTCAAGCTCAAACTCATTACAGAGCTTCTATTCTCTGCATGGTGCTGTTTGGGGTGCTTAGAGTGATCCAGAGATGACTAACAACAGGGAGGGGGGTCCTGGAGAAGGGACGATCAGAGCCAGGCCTGGGAAACAAGATGCCAAGGTAAGAGATGGGATTCCGGGTACAGGCAACCAGGTTAAGTTGGCAAACGCTTCTAGGACATCTACTATGAGCCAGGCCCCATGCTAGGGATGAGGGTGGCCAGGCTCTAAATGTCCCTTGGTAGCCTGGAACAAAAACAAATGTTCTGAGTCATTTTCTAAATCCTGTCCTAAACTGGGGCTGCAGACTAAGAAAAATCAAGGTGGCATGGAGGAAAATTTCCACTGAAACTACCATTATTCAGCCATTTGTTTCACTCAATCTTTCTTCTTGGAGAAGGAAAATGCGAAATTGTAAAATTGCCAAATACGTTCAGGTTTGACCAGAGTGAATCCGATTGTGCCGGGTGTTACCCAATGAGTCACAGGCTGTCAGTGTGGGAAAGGCCCCAAGGGCTGGTGATTCCACATTCGAGGATGGCAAACGGGAGGCCAGATGGCAAAGGGATCTGTCAGGGGCCAGACAGCAGATTCAAGGTGAGCTTGGACATGAGGCCTCTGACTCCTGCCTCAAGCCTCCTGGATCCGTTGATCCCTGAGCTACATACTGGGTATCTGGCCCTGCCCTTCCCACCAGAGCTAGAGAGAGCTTCAAGTCTTAGCCCCGTCCCCTACTGGAGGATGAAGACAAGTGAATAATTGCAATGTAGTGCGATAAGTGCTAGGAGCCTGAGAAGCAGACACAGCCCTGGGAGCCTAATGCAAGTGGCCAGACCCTATTCAGAGCTCACTCTGCGAGACACTGTTCTAAGCACCTTCCCTATTGGATCCTCACAAAAACCCTAAGATGTCAAGTCTGTTATTGCTTCCTCCCATTTTACAGATGAGGAAACTGAGGCAGGGGGTTAAATAACTTGCCTAGTCACAAGATCTAAAGATTGGGGGGGTGGGGGGAGGGAAGAAAAAAAAGAGTAACTTGCCCAAGATCACACAGCTAAGAAGTGGAGAAGCTAGGGTCCGAACTCAAGCAGTCTGGTTCCAGAGTCTGCTCCTAGCCCTACACTAACTCACTCCACTTAATCCAGACTAGGGGCAAGTGTAGCCCAAGAAAGGCCCCCTGTAGCCCGAGTCTTTTTTTGTTTGTTTTTTTTGGGGTTTTTTTGTTTTGTTTTGTTTTTGTGAGATGGAGTCTCACCCTGTCATCCAGGCTGGGGTGTGCAATGGCACCATCTTGGTTCACTGCAACCTCCACCTCCCAGGTTCAAGCGATTCTCCTGCCTCAGCCTCTCAAGTAGCTGGGACTACAGGTATGCACCACCACACCCGGCTAATTTTTTGTATTTTAAGTTGAGAAGGGGTTTCACCATGTTGGCCAGGCTGGCCTCCCAAAGTGCTGGGATTACAGGCATGAACCACCATGTCCAGCCTTACCCTAAGTCTTAAGGATGGAGTTAGCCAAAGAAATGCCCAGGGAAGAGGAATTGCATTCCAACCAGAGGGAACAGCATCTGCAACAGCCTGGAGGCACAGAAAGCATGGTGCAGGGGAACGGCTATAATTCAGCATGATTAGAATTCAGGAGTTGGAGGAGGGGAAAGGGAGTGAAGTGTGAGAGGCTCTTCCCTCTCTGTCGAGCTGTTCAGCATCACTATCCATTATCCAGAACCTAATATACACTCTGATATACAAACAGTGCAAATACATTATTGAAGCTCTCATGGTGTTGGTATGAAGAGATGGGATTTCTCTGTGCTAAAATGAATCAAGATGACCTGAAACAAGAGGCAGAAAGGAAGTAATACCTGGTGCATTGCCACAGGGCAAGTCTGTTCTCTCTAATCCATACTGTCCAAGTCCATTACCTCATACAGTAGTCCCTAATTACTCCACCTTACAGAGGGATATGCACACTAATTAGAAAGGATGTTAACCGCCATAGTGAAAATATTCTGAAGCAAATGAAATATTACTAGGAGCAAAAGGGTGATTTGTTTCTGTGAATTGTGCTTTTAAATGAGATCAAAGAATGTGAAAGGCTTCATTTTAATTATACCTGGAAGGACCTGGAAGGGATGCATACATCCCTTTTATGGCCTTCATGCACACAGCAGTCTCTCTCCCATCCCCCACTGCACAGAAATAAATAAATAAATAAATAAAAGGGTTTAAAAATCATATTTACTCTGATATCTTTGCATTACCCCTATTTGAGTTTTTAAATTACTGTCTGTATTTTTTCCCAAGGACGATATAACTAAAAAGAAGGTTCGTATTTGAAGTGTATCTATCTGATCATTGCACAAATGTTTTCAGGAGAAATCACTAAATTTCTCCAAGATGGGTATGGGTTTTGTCATAGATCAAAGTGAGAGGGAGGAAAAAAAAGATAAATCATCAGAGATCCAAAAATACTTTTCATTTGGAGAAGATATCAGGCCATTTCGATGGGGCTGATGGAGTCCCTGTTCTGTCTCCATTACCCGCAGCAGGCAGCCCCAGCCAGGAGCCAACTACCAAGATTATATTCCCCATAAGATGGTCCCCGATATCTATATATATATATGATCTTCAACCTCTATTGATTGACCAATTTCACAAGCAAAGACTGGTGAAATGAAGCTGAAATGAACATCATGCTTTAACTCATTGAACCTATCAGGCCTGAGTTAATCTCACTGTCCACTGTCTCTGATAGAATTCAATTGATCAATCATGTTTCGGTGATAGTACCATTTCACTGGCTTATTGCTTCTTCATTTCAGAGCTTGACCTGTTAGATGTACTCGGACTGGCTCGACTCCTCTTGGATACACAGAGATCAGCCTCTGTCTGCCAACGTGTGTCATCTCCTGTCCCAGTTGAAAAGAACTCAAGAGGCTTTTGTGTATGTCTGTGGTGTGTTTTTCCACCAAACACACACACAGGAATGGTGGATTTATGAGGGTGTGGAACTGAACAAGCACAAATTATAAGAAGGGCTCTTCATTATTCATGGAAGCACAATTATTTCCCTTTTATGTAGTTAAATTGACGTGTTTGGGCTCTGTACCTTATAGGGGCATATTCTTGTATTACACTGGCAAGTGTGCATGCCTAGACATCTGAAAAGGATAACAGCGACAAAATGATAACAATCGCACCCCTCAAATACATATTCCTGTGGCATATGAAACATTCATCAGCTTATCTGATTCTCCTGATAATCTCAGGAGATGGGCAGGAGATTACGATTCCCATTTTGCAGATGAGAAAATGGGCTCAGAGACGGAAAGTGGCCTGCCCAGGGTCACACAGCAGAGTTATCAGGCCAGGTGAGACTGAGAGCCCTGG